>NC_000022.11:15154318-15454318 GCF_000001405.40 Homo sapiens | reverse complement strand
AATCATTTCAGCGGAAAAACAAACAGAACCAGCCGCAGTGTTGTGCAATCATTTGTGTGGGAAAAACATTCAGACACTCGTAGCAATGTTCTGGAATCCTATGTGATGGAAAAACTCTCAGAACCTATCAGCAGTGTTCTGGAATCCTATGTGAGAGACAAACACACAGAATACAGCAACAGTGTTCTGGAATCCTATGTGAGCGACAAACATTCATAACTTCGTAGCAATGTTCTGGAATCCTATGTGAGGGACAAACACTAAAAACCCTGCCACTGTTCTGGAATCCTATCGGAGGGACAAACATTCAGACACTAGTAGAATTGTTCTGGAATCCTACGTGAGGGACAAACACTCAGAATCCAGCAGCAGTGCTCTGGAGTCCTTTGTGAGGGACAAATAAACAGAACCCAGCAGCAGTGTTCTGGAATCCATTCTGAGAGAAAAACATTAAGACCCTCCTAACAGTGTTCTGGAATCCTATGGGAGGGACAAACACTCAGGACGCAGCAGCAGTGTTTTGGAATCTCGTGTGAGCTGCAAAGATTCAGAATTTCATAGCAGTGTTCACGAATCCAATGTGAGGGACAAACACTCAGAACCCAGCAGCAGTGTTCTGGAATCCTATGGGAGGTACAAACACTCAGAACCCAGCGGCAATGTTCTGTAATCCTATGTGAGGGACAAACACTCAGAACCCAGCAGCAGTGCTCTGTAATCCTTTGTGACGGACAAACAAACTGAACCCAGCAGCAGTGTTCTGGAATCCTATGTGAGGGACAAGCACTCAGAACCCAGCAGTAGTGTTCTGGAATCCTTTGTGAGGGACAAACATTCATAACCTCGTAGCAGTGTTCTGAAATCCTATGTGAGAGACAAACACTCAAAACCCAGCCACTGTGTTCTGGAATCATATGTGAGCGACAAACACTCAGGCACTCGAAACAGTGTTCTGGAGTCATATGTGAAGGACAAACATTCAGAACCCAGAAGCAGTGTTCTGGAATCCTTTGTGATGGACAAACTTTTAGACCCTCATAGGTGTGTTCTAGGATCCCATGTGAGATACAAACACTCAGAACCCAGTATCAGCGTTCTGGAATCCTATGTGAGGGATAAACACTCAGAACGCAGCAGCAGTGTTCTGAAATCTTGTGTGAGGGACAAACACTCAGAACCCAGCAGCAGTGTTCTGGAATCCTATGTGAGGGACAAACACTCAGAACGCAGCCACTGTGTTCTGGAGTACTATCTGAGAGACAAACATTCAGACACTCCTAGAATTGTTCTGGAATCCTACGTGAGGGCCAAACACTGAGAAACCAGCAGTGGTGCTGTGGAATCCTTTGTGAGGAAAAACAAAGAGAACCCAACAGCAGTGTTCTGGAATCCTTTGTGAGGGACAATCTCTCAGAACCCAGCAGCAGTCTTCTGGAATCTCATGTGAGGGACAAACACTCAGAACCGAGCAACAGTGTTCTACAATCCTTTGTGAGGGACAAACCTTCAGACACTCGAAGCAGTGTTCTGGAATCCTACGTGAGGGACAAACTCTCAGAACCCGGCAGCAGTGTTGTGGAGTCTATTGTGAGGGACAAACTCTCAGAACCTCCTAGCAGTGTTCTGGAATCCTATGTGAGGGACAAACACTCTGAACCCAGCAGCAGTTTTCTGGTATCCTATGTGAGGGACAAACACTGAGAACCCAGCACCCATGTTTCGGAATCCTATGTGAGGGACAAACACTCAGAAACCAGCAGCATTGCTCTGGATTCCTAAGTGAGAGACAAACACTCAGAACCCAGCAGCAGTGCTCTGTAATCCTTTGTGAGGGACAAACAAACAGAACCCAGCAGCAGTGTTCTGGAATCCTATGTGAGGAACAAACACTCAGAACCCAGCAGAAGTGTTCTGGAATCCTGTGTGAGGGACAAACCTTCAGAACCTCTTAGCAGTTTTCTGAAATTCTGTGTGAGTGACAAACACTCTTAACCCAGCAGAAGTGTTCTGGAATCCCATGTGAGGAACAAACACTCAGAACCCAGCAGCCATGTTCTGGAATCCTATATCAGTGAGAAACACTCAGAACCCAGCAGCAATGTTGCAGAATCCTTTGTGAGGGACAAACATTCAGACACTCGAAGCAATGTTCTGGAATCCTACGTGAGGGACAAACAGTCCGAACCCAGCAGCAGTGTTCTGGAATCCTTTGTTAAGGACAAACATTCAGACACTCGTAGCAGTGTTCTGGCATCCTATGTGAGGGGCAAACACTCAGAACCCTATAGCAGTGTTCTGGAATCCTATGTGAGGGATAAACACTCAGAATCCAGCAGCAGTGTTGTGGAATTCTATGTGAGGGACACACACTCAGAACCTAGCAGAAGTGTTCTGGAATCCTATGGAGGGACAAACACTCAGAACCCAGCAGCAGCGTTCCGGAATCCTATGTGATGGACAAACACTCTGAACCAACCAGCAGTGTTCTGGAATCCCATGTGAGGGACAAACACTCAGAACCCAGCAGCCGTGGTCTGGAATCCTATGTCAGGGACAAACACTCAGAACCCAGCAGCAGTGTTTTGGAATCCTGTGTGAGCGACAAAGATTCAGAACTTAGTAGCAGTGTTCTGGAATCTCAGGTGCGGGACAAACACTCAGAACCCAGTGGCAGTGTTGTGGAATCCTATGTTGGGGACAAACACTCAGAACCCAGCAGAAGTGTTCTGGAATCTTATAGGAGGGACAAACAGTCAGAACCCAGCCGCTGTTTTCTGGAATCCTATCAGAGAGACAAACATTCAGGCACTCATATAAGTGTTCCGGAATCCTATGTGTTGGAAAAACACCCAGAAACCAGCAGCTGTGTTTTGGAATCCTTTGTGAGGATAAACAAACAAAGCCAGCAGCAGTGTTCTGGAATCGTTTGTGAGGGAAAAACATTCAGATCCCCGTAGTAGTGTTCTGGAATCCTATGTGAGGGACAAACTCTCAAAACCCAGCAACAGTGTTCTGGAATCCTATGTGAGGAATAAAAGCACAGAACACAGCAGCAGTGTTCTTCAATCCTATGTGAGTGACAAATATTCAAAACTTAATAGCAGTGTTCTGGAATCTTATGTAAAAGACAAGCACTCAAAGCACAGCCACTGTGTTCTGGAATCTTATCTGAGGGACAAACATTCAGACACTCGTCGAAGTGTTCTGGAATCCTATGTGAGGGACAAACATTCTGAATCCAGCAGCAATGCTCTGAGTCCTTTTTGAGGGACAAACAAACAGAACCCAAGAGCAGTGTTCTGGAATCCTTTCTGAGAGAAAAACATAAAGACCCTCGTAACAGTGTTATCGAATCCTTTTTGAGGGACAGACACTCAGAACCCAGAGGCAGTGTTTTGGAATGCCGTGTGAGTGACAAAGATTCATAACTTCGTAGCAGTGTTCACGAATCCAATGTGAGAGACAAACACTCAAAACCCAGCAGCAGTGCCCAGGAATCATTTGGGAGGGACAAACATTCAGAACCCAGCAGCCATGTTCTGGAATCCTATGTGAGGGGCAAACACTCAGATCCCTGCAGCCGTGTTCTGGATCCTATGTGAGTGACAAACACTCAGAACCCAACAGCAGTGTTCTGGAATCCTATGTGAGTGACAAACACTCAGAACCCAGCAGCAGTCTTCTGGAATACCATGTGAGGGACAAACACTCAGAAACCAGCAGCAGTTTTCCGGAATCCTATGTGAGTGACAAACACTCAGAAGGCAGCAGCAGTTGTCTAGAATCCTTTGTGAGGGACAAACCTTGAGACCCTCGAAGCAGTGTTCTGGCATCCTATGTTAGGGACAAACACTCAGAACCCAGCAGCAGTGTTCTGGATTCCTTTGTGATGGACAAATATTCAGACCGTCGTAGTAGTGTTCTGGAATCCTATTTGAGGGAGAAACACTAAGAAAGCAACAGAAGTGTTCCGGATTCCTATGTGAGGAACAAACACTCAGAACACAGCAGCAGTGCTCAGGAATCCTTTGTGAGGGAGAAACATACAGAATCCAGCAGCTGTGTTTTGGAAACCTATGTGAGGGAAAAACATTCAGTACCTCCTAGGAGTGTTCGGGAATCGTATGTGAGGGACAGACAGTCAGAACCCAGCAGCAGAGTTCTGGAATTCTATATGAGGGACAAACACTCAGAATGCAACAGCAGTGTTCTGGAATCCTATGTGTTGGACAAATACTCAGAAGACAGCACCATTTTTCTGGAATCCTATGTCAGATACAAACACTCAGAACACAGCAGCATTCTTCCGGAATACTATGTGGGTGACAAACACTCAGAACCCATCAGTAGGATTCTGGAATCCTATGTGAGGGACAACACTCAGAACCCAGCAGCAGTGTTCTGGAATTCTAAGTGAGGGACAAACACTCAGATCTCAGCCAATGTGTTCTGCATTCCTATCTGAGGGACAAATATTCAGACACTAGTAGAAGTGTTCAAGAATCCTTCGTGAGGGACAAAGTCACAGAAACCAGCAGCTGTGCTCTGGAAACCTTTGTGAGGCACAAACAAACGGAACCCAGATGTAGTGTTCTGGAATACTTTGTGAGGAAAAAACATTGAGACCCTCATAGCAGTGTTCTGGAATCCTATAAGTGGGTCAAAATCTCAGGACCCAGAGCAGTGTTCCAGAATCCTACGTGAGGGACACACCTTCAGAACCCAGCAACAGTGTTCTGAAATCCTATGTGAGAGACAAGCATTCAGAACGTCGTAGCAGTATTTGGGAATCCCATGTGGAGAACAAACACTCAGAACCCAGCCACTGTGTTCAGGAATCCTTTCTGAGGGACAAACAGTCAGAAACCAGCAGCAGTGCTCAGGAATCCTTTGTGAGGTACAAACATACGGAACCCAGCAGCAGTGTTTTGGAATCCTATGTGAGGGACAAACATACGGAACCTCCTAGCAGTGTTCTGGAATCCTATGTGTGACAAACCCTCAGAACCCAGCAGCAGTGTTCTAGAATCCCATATGAGAGACAAAATCTCAAAACCCGTCAGCAGTGTTCTGGAATCGTATGTGAGTGACAAACACTCAGAACCCAGCAGCAGTGTTCTGGAATCCCATGTGAGGGACAACCACGCAGATCCCAGCAGCAGTTTTCTGGAATCCTATGTGAGAGTAAAACACTCAGAAGCCAGCAGCAGTGCTCTAGAATCTTTTGTGAGGGACAAACAGTGAGACCTTCGAAGCAGTGTTCTGGAATCCCAGGTGGGAGACAAACACTCAGAACCCAGCAGCAGTGCTCCAGAATCCAATGTGATGGACAAACATTCAGACCCTCATAGCAGTGTTCTGGAATCCTATGTGAGGGACAAACACTCAGAACCCAGCCACTGTGTTCTGGAATCCTATCTGAGGGACAAACATTGAGACACTCATATAAGGGTTCTGGAATCCTATGTAAGGGACAAACACTCAGAAACCAACAGCAGTGCTCTGGAATCCTATGTTAGGGACAAACACTCAGAACCCAGCCGCAGTGTTCTGGAATCCTTTGTGATGGGCAAACATTCAGACCCTCGTAGCAGTGTTCTGGAATCCTATGTGAGGGACAAACACTCAGAACCCAGCAGCAGTGCTCTGGATTCCTATGTGAGGACACTCAGAATCCAGCAGCAGTGTTTTGGAATCCTGCGTGATCAATAAAGATTTACAACTTCGTAGCTGTGTGCTGGAATCCCATGTGCGGGACAAACACTCAGAACCCAGCAGCAGTGTTCTGGAATCTTATGTGACGGACAAACACTCAGAACCCAACAGTAGTGTTCTGTAATCCTAAGTGAGGGAGAAACTCTCAGAACCCAGAAGCAGTGTTCTGGAATCCTTTGTGAAGGACAAACTTTCAGAACCTCATAGCATTGTTTTGGAATTGTATGTGAGGGACAATCACTCTGAACCCAGCAGCAGTGTTCTGGAATCCAACGTGAGGGATAAACACTCAAAACCCTTCAACAGTGTTCTGGAATCTTATGTGAGTGACAAACCCTCAGAACTGGCAGCAGTGTTCTAGAATCCTCTATGAGGAACAAATATTCGGAACATGGAAGCAAGATTGTGGAATCCTATGTGAGGGAGAAACACTCAGATACCAGCAGCAGTGTTGTGGAATCCTTTGGGATGGACAAACATTCAGACTCTCGTAGCAGTTTTCTATAATCCTATGTGATTGACAAAGGTTCATAACCCAGCTGCAGTGTTCTGAAACCTTATGTGAGAGAGAAACATTCAGATATTCACAGCAGTATTCTGGAATCCTACGTGGGGGACAAGCACGCAGAACCCAGCCACTGTGTTCTGGAATCCTATCCGAGGGACATACATTCAGAAACTTGTAGAAGTGTTCTGGAATCCAACGTGAGGGACAAACACTCAGAACCCAGCAGTAGATTTCTGGAATCCTATGAGAGTGACAAACACAAGCCAGCAGTAGTACTCCAGAAATCTTTGTGAGGGACAAACAATGAGAACCTCAAAACTTTGTTCTGGAATCCTATGAAAGGGACAAAAACTCAGAACCCAACAGCACTGTTCTGGAATCCTTTGGAATGGACAAACATTCAGAGCGTCGTTGCAGTGTTCTGGAATCCTATGTGAGGGACAAACACTCAGAACCCAGCAGCAGTGTTCTGGAATACTTTATGATGGACAAACATTCAGACCCTCGCAGCCGTGTTCTGGAATCATATGTGAGGGACAAACACTCAGAACCCAGCAGCAGTGTTCTGTAATCCTATGTGAGGGAAAAACCCTCAGAACCCAGCAGCAGTGTTCTGGAATCGTAAGTGAGGGAGAAATACTCAGAAACCAGCAGCAGTGTTCTAGATTCCTTTGTGAGGGACAAACATTCAGAACCCAGCAGCAATGTTCTAGAAACCTTTGTGAGGGACAAGCACTCAAAACCCAGCAGCCGTGTTCTGGAATCTTTTCTGAGGGACAACCATTCAGACCCTCCAAGCAGTGTTCTGGAATCCTATGTTAGGCAGAAACACCCAGGACCCAGCAGCGGTGATCTGTAATGCTTTGTGACGGACAAACAAACAGAACCCAGTAGTAGTGTTCTGGAATCCTATGTGATGGACAAACACTGAGAACCCAGCAGCAGTGTTCTGGCATCCTGTGTGATCGACAAAGTTCAGAGACTCTTAGAGGTGTACTGGAATCCTATGTGAGGGACAAACACTCAGAAACCAGCAGCAGTGCACAGGAATCCTTTGAGAGGGACAAACATACAGAACCCAGCAGCAGTGTTTTGTAATTAATGTGAGTGACAAGCAATCAGAACGCAGCAGTAGTGTTCTAGAATCCTATGAGAGGGACAAACACTCAGAACCCAGCAGCAGTGTTCTGGAATCCTTTGTGAGGGACAAACATTCAGAACCTCATAGCAGTGTTCTGGTATAGTATGTGTGGAAGAAACCCTCTGAACCCAGAAGCAGTGTTTTGGAATCCCATGTGAGGGACAAACACTCAGAACCCAGCAGCAGTGTTCTGTAATCCCATGTGAGTGAAAAACACTCAGAACCCAGAAGCAGTGTTATAGAATCCTTTGTGAGGGACAAACCTTCAGAACCTGAAAGCAGTGTTCTGGTATCGTATGTGAGGGACAAACACTGAGAACCCAGCCAATGTGTTCTGGAATCCTATCTGAGGGACAAACATTCAGATACTCGTAGAAGTGTTCTGGAATCCTATGTGAGGGACAAAAGCTCAGAACTCCGTAGCAGTCTTCTGGAATCCTATATGAGGGATAAACACTCAGAACCCAGCATGAGTGTTCTGGAATCATATGTGAGGGACAACACTCAGAAGCCAGCAGCAGTGTTCTGGAATCCTAAGTGAGGGAAAAACACTCAGAACCCAGCAGTAGCGTTCTGTAATCCTATGTGAGTGACAGACACTCAGAACCCAGCAGCAATATTCTGGAATCCTTTGTGAGGGAAAATCTTTGAGACCCTCGTAGCATTGTTCTGGAATAGTATGAGGGAAAAACACTCAGAACCCAGTAAAAGTGTTCTGGAATCTTATGAGAAGGAAAAACACTCAGAACCCAACAGCAATGTTTTGGAATCCTATGTGATCAACAAAGATTCAGAAGTTCATAGCAGTGTTCTGGAATCACATGTGAGGAAGAAACACTCAGAAACCAGCAGTAGTGTTCTGGAATCCTATGTGAGTGACAAACACTCAGAAACCAGCAGTAGTGTTCTAGAATCCTTTGTGAGGCACAGACGTTCAGACGCTCGAAGCAGTGTTCTGGAATCCTATGTGAGGGACAAACACTCAGAACCCAGCAGCAGTGTTCTGGAATACTTTATGAGGGACAAACACTCAGGACCCAGCCACTGTGTTCTATAATACTATCTGAGGGACAAACATTCAGACTTTCGTAGAAGTGTTCTGGAATCCTATGTGAGGGACAAACACTAAGAAACCTGAAGCAGTGCTCTGGAATCCTTTGTGAAGGACAAACAAACACAACCCAACAGCGGTGTTTTGGAATCCTATGTGAGGGAAAAATATTCAGACACTTGTAGCATTGTCGAGGAACCTAATATGAGGGACTAACACTCAGAACCCAGTAGAAGTGTTCTGGAATCCTTAGTGAGGGATAAACATTCAGACACTCGCAGCAGTGTTCTGGAATCCTACGTGAGGGACAAACACTCAGAAAGCAGCAACATTTTTCTGGAATCCTATGTGAGCAAAAAACATTCAGAACTTCGTAGCAGTTTTTTGGAATTCTATGTAAGGGACAAACACTCAGATCCCAGCAGCAGTGTTTCGGAATCCTAAGTGAGGTACAATCCCTCAGAACCAAGAAGCAGGGTTCTGGAATCCTGTCTGAGGGACAAACTTTCAGACACTCTTAGAAGTGTTCTGGAATCCTATGTGAGGGACAAATACTCAGAAACCAGCAGCAGTGCTCTGTAATCCTTTGTGAGGTAGAAACATTCAGAACCTCTCAGCAGTGTTCTGGAATCTTATGTGAGGGACAAATACTCTGAACCCAGCAGCAGTGTTCTGGAATCCCATGTGAGGGGCAAACACTCAGAACCCAGCAGCAGTGTTCTGGAATCCTATGTTAGAGGCAAAGACTCAGAACCCAGCAGCTGTTTTCTTGAATTCCTTGTGAGGGACAAACTTTCAGAACCTCGAAGCAGTGTTCTGGAGTCCCACGTGAGGGACAAACACTCAGATCCCAGTAGCAGTGTTCTGGAATCCTTTGGAATGGACAAACATTCAGATGCTCGTAGCATTGTTCTGGAATCCTACGTGAGGGACAAACACTGAGTTCCTAGCCACTGTGTTCTGGAATCCTATTTAATTGACAAACGTTCAGACACTCTCAGAAGCTTTCTGTAATCCTATCTGAGGGACAAACACTCAGAAACCAGCAGCAGTTCTCTGGAATCCTTTGTGAGGGACACTCAGAAACCAGCGGCAGTTCTCTGGAATCCTTTGTGAGGGACAAACACTCAGAAACCAGCGGCAGTTCTCTGGAATCCTTTGTGAGGGACAAACACTCAGAACCCCACAGAAGTGTTCTGGAATCCTTTGTGATGGGCAAACATTCAGAACCTCGTAGCAGTGTTCTGGAATCCTATGTGAGGAACAAACACTCAGAACCCAGCAGCAATCTTCTGGAATACAATGTGAGGGACAAACGCTCAGAACCCAGCAGCAGTGTTTTGGAATCCGGTATGATCGACATAGACTCAGAACTTCTTAGCATTGTTCTGGAATCCCATGTGAGGATCAAACACTCAGAACCCAGCAGCAGTGTTCTGAAATCCTATGTGAGGGAGAAACACTCAGAACCCAGTAGCAGTGTTCTGGAATCCTATGTGAGTGACAAACCCTCAGAAACCAGCAGCAGTGCTCTAGAATCCTCTGTGTGGGACAAATATCCAGAAACTCGAAACAGGGTTCTGGAATCCTATGTATGAAACAAACACTCAGATCCCTGAAGCAGTATTCTGGAATCCTTACTGATGGACAAACATTAAGACCTTCATAGCAGTTTTCTTGAACCCTATGTGAGTGAGAAACGTTCAGAACCCAGCAGCAGTGTTCTGAAATCCTATGTGAGTGACATTCAGATATTCGTAGCTGTATTCTGGAATCCTATGTGGGGGAAAAACACTCAGAACCCAGCCACTGTGTTCTGGAATAATATCTGAGGGACAAACATTCAGACACTCGTAGAAGTATTCTGGAATCTTATTCGTGGGACAATCACTTGGAAACCAGCAGCAGTGCTGTGGAATCCTCTGTGAGGGACAAACACTTAGAACTCAGCAGCAGTGTTCTGGAATCCGTTATGAGGGACAAGCATTCACAACCCCGTAGAATTGTTCTGGAATCCTAAGTGAGGGACAAACACTCAGAAGCCATCAGTACTGTTCTGGAATCCTTTGTGAGAGACAAGCATTCAGAACCTCATAGCAGTGTTCTGGAATCATAAGTGAGGGAAAAACACTCAGAAATCAGCAGCAGTTTTCTGGAATCCTATTTGAGTGACAAACTCTCGGAACCCAGCAGCAGTATTCTGAAATCGTATGTGAGGCAGAAACACTCAGAATCCAGCAGGAGTGTTCTGAAATCCTATGTGAGGTACAAACACTCAGAACCCAGCAGCAGTGTTGTGCAATCCTTTGTGATGGGCAAACATTCAGACCCTCGTAGTAGTGGGTAGTGCTCTGGAAACCTTTATGAGGGACAAACAAACAGAACACAGCAACAGTGTTTAGGAAACCTTTGTGAGGGAAAACCATTCAGACACTCGTAGCAGTGTTCTGGAATCCTACATGAGGGAAAACACTCAGAACACAGCAGCAGTCTTCCGGACACCTAAGTGAGGGACAAACTCTCAGATCCCAGCAGCAGTGTTCTGAAATCCTATGTAAGCAACAAACATTCAGAACTTAGAAGCAGTGCTCTGGAATTTCTTGTGAGGGACAAACACTCTGAACTCAGCAGCAGTGTTCTGGAATCCTTTGTCAGGGACAAACATTCAGAACCTCGTAGCAGTGTTCTGGAATCCTAAGTGGAGAACAAACTCTCAGAACACAACAACAGTGTTCTGGAATCCCATGTGAGTGACAAACAGTCAGAACTGAGCAGCAGTGTTCTGGAGTCCTATGTGAGGGACAAACACTCAGAATCCAGCAGCAGTTGTCTGCAATCCTATGTGAGCGACAAACAATCAGAACCCGGACACTATGTACTGGAATCCTATATGAGGGACAAACATTCAGACCCTCGTAGAAGTATTCTGGAATCCTATGTGGGAGACAAACACTAAGAAACCTGCAGCAGTGCTCTGGAATCCTTTGTGAGGGACAAACAGAACCCAGCAACACTGTTCTGGAATCCTTTGTGAGGGAAAAACATTCAGAACTTAGTAGCAGTGTTCTGGAATCCAATATGAGGAAAAATCATACAGACCCACTTAGCAGTGTTCTGGCATCCTATGTGAGTCACAAACACTCAGAACACAGAAGCAGTGTTCTAGAATCCTCTTTGAGGGACAAACATGCTTACCCTCAAAACAGTGTTCTGGAATCCTATGTGAGGGACAACCACTCAGAACCGAGCAGTAGTGTTGGGCAATCCTTTGTGATGGACAAACATTCAGACCGTTGTAGCAGTGTTCTGGAATCCTATGTGAGGGACAAACACTCAGAACCCTGCAGCAGAGTTCTGGAATCATTTATGAGGGACAAAACTTCAGACCCTCGAAGAAGTGTTCTGGAATCGGATGTGAGGGACAGACACTCAGAACCCAGCCACTGTGTTCTGGAATCCCACCTGAGTGATAAATAATCAGACACTCATAGAAGAGTTCTGGTGTCCTATGTGAGGGACAAACACTCAGAACACAGTAGCAGTCCTCTGGATTACTGTATGAGGGACAAACACTAAGTACCCAGCAGCAGTGTTTTGTAATCCTTTGTGAGGGACAAACATTCAGAATCTCTTAGTAGTGTTCTGGAATCATATGCGAAGGAGAAACAATCAGAACCCAGAAGCAGTGTTCTGGGATCCCATGTGAGGGACAAACACTCAGAAACCAGCAGCAGGGTTCTGGAATCCTATGTGTTGGAGAAACACTCAGAAACCAGCATTAATTTCTGGAATCCTATGTGAGGGACAAACACTAAGAACCCAGCCACTGTGTTCTGGAACCCTTTGTGATTGACAAACTTTCAGACACTCGTAGCAGTTTTCCGGAATTCTACGTGAAGGACAAACAATCAGAAACCAGCAATCCTGTTCTGGAATCCTTGTGATGGGCAAACAAACAGAACCCCGTGGCAGTGTTTTGGAATCCTATGTGAAGGACAAACACTCAGAACCCAGCAGCAGTGTTCTAGAATCCTATGTGAGGGACAAACACTCAGAACCCAGCATCAGGGTTCTGGAAACTTATCTGAGGGATAAACACTCAGAATGCAACAGCTGTGTTCTGGAATCCTAGATGAGGATCAAACCCTCAGAACCCACCAGCAGTGTTCTGGAATCCTACGTAAGGGACAAACACTCAGAACCCCGCCACTGTGTTCTGGAATCCTATATGAGGGAAAAACATTCAGACACTCATATAAGTGTTCTGGAATCCTATGTGAGGGACAAACACTCAGAACCCAGCAGGAGTGTTCTGGAGTCCTTTCTGAGGGACAAACATTCGGAACCTCATAGCAGTGTTATGGAATCCTATGAGAGGGTGAAACACTCTGAACCCAGCAGCAGTGTACTGGAATCCCATGTGAGTGACAAACACTCAGAACCCAGCAGTGGTGTTCAGGAATCCTATGTGAGTGACAAACACTCAGTACAAAGGAGCAGTGTTCTAGAGTCCTTTGCGACGGACAAAATTCAGACCCTGGATGCAGAGTTCTGGAATCCTCTGTGAGGGACAAACACTCTGAACCCAGGAGCAGTATTCTGGAATCCTTTGCGATGGAAAAACTTTCACACCCTCGTAGCAGTGTCCTGGGATCCTAAGTGAGGGACAAACACTCAGAACCCAGCAGCAGTGTTCTGGAATCCTAGATGAGAGACAAACACTCAGAACACAGCAGCAGTGTTCTGGAATCCTCTGTGAGGGATAAACACTCAGAACCCAGCAGCAGTGTTCTGGAATCCTTTGTGATGGACAAACATTCAGACCCTCGCGACAGTGTTCTGGAATCCTATGTGAAGGGCAAACACTCAGAAATCAGCAGCAGTGTTCTGGAATCCTCTGTGAGGGACAAACACTGAGAACACAGCAGTAGTATGCTGGAATCCTATGTGAGGGACACACACTGAGAACCGAGCAGCAGTGTTCTGGAATCCTATGTGAGGGAAAAACATTCAGACCCTCTTAGTAGTGTTCTATAATCCTATGTGAGGGACAAACACTCTGAACCCAGGAGCAGTATTCTGGAATCCTTTGCGATGGAAAAACTTTCACACCCTCGTAGCAGTGTCCTGGGATCCTAAGTGAGGGACAAACACTCAGAACCCAGCAGCAGTGTTCTGGAATCCTAGATGAGAGACAAACACTCAGAACCCAGCAGCAGAGTTCTACATTCTTTTGTGAGGGACAAACACTCAGAACCCAGCAGCCGTGTTCAGGAATGCTATGTGAGGGAGAAACAATCAGAACCCAGTAGCAGTGTTCTGGTATCCTATATGAGGGACAAACACTCAGAACCCAGCAGAAATGTTCTGGAATCCTATATGAGGGATATACACTCACAAACCAGCAGCAGTGTTCTGGATTCCTATGGGAGGGACAAACATTCAGACCCTCGGAGCAGTGTTCTGGAATCCTATGTGAAGGGCAAACACTCAGAACCCAGTAGCAGTGTTCTGGAATCCTATGTGAGGGACAAGAATTCAGACACTCATAGCAGTGATACGGAATCCTTTGTGAGGGACAAACATTTGGACCCTCGTAGCAGTGTTCTGGAATCCTTTGTGAGGGGCAAACACTCAGAACTCAAAAACAGTGTTCTGGAATCCCTATAAGGGACAAATATTCAGACCCTTACAGCAGTGTTTGGGAATTATATGTGAGGGACAAACACCCAGAAACCAGGAGCAGTGTTCTGGAATCCTTTGTGAGAGACAAACTTTCATACCCTTGTAGCAGTATTCTGGAATCCTACGTGAGGGACAACCTAGCAGCAGTGTTCTGGAATCCAATGTGAGGGACAAACACATACAACCCAGCAACAATGTTCTGGTATCTTATGTGAGGAACAAACACTCAGAATACAGCAGCTGTGATCTGTAATCCCATGTGAGGGACAAACACTCAGAACCCAGCAGCAGTGTTTTGGAATCCTGAGTGAGCGACAAAGAATCCGAACTTCGTAGCAGTGTTCACGAAACGCATGTGGGGGACAAACGCTCAGAACCCAGCAGCAGTGTTCTGCAATCCTGTGGGAGGGACAAATACTCAGAACCCAGCAGCAGTGTTATGGGATCGTATGCGAGAGACAAACACTCCGAACCCAGGAGCAGTGTCCTGGAATCCTATGTGAGCACGAACACTCAGAACCCAACAGCAGGGATCTCGAATTCTGGGTGCAGGACAAACACTCAGAACCCAGCAGCAGTGTTCTGGAATCCTATGTGAGGGACAAACACTCAGAAGTCTGCACAGTTTTCTGGAATCCTATCTGAGTGACAAACATTCAGAGACTCGTAGAAGTGTTGTAGAATCCTTTTTGAGGGACAAACAGAAACAGCAGCAGTGTTCTGGAATCCTTTGTGAGAGAAAAACATTCAGACCCTCGCAACAGTGCTCTGGAATCCTATGTGATGGACAAATACTCACAACCCAGCAGCAGTGTTCTGGAATCCAATGTGAGAGACAAACACTCAGAACCCAGCAGCAGTGTTCTAGAATTTTTTGTGAGGGATAAACATTCAGACAATCGAAGCAGGGTTCTGGAATCCTATGTGAGGGACAACCACTCAGAAACCAGCAGAAGTGCTCTGTAATCCTTTGTAAGGGACAAACAAACAGAACGCAGCAGCAGTGTTCTGGAATCCTATGCCAGGGACAAACACTCAGAAACCAGCAGTAGTGTTCTGGATTCGTTTCTGAGGGACAAACATTCAGGACCTTGTAGCAGTGTTGTGGAATCCCATTTGAGGGACAAATACACTGAACCCAGCAGCAGTGTTCTGGAATCCCATGTTAGGGACAAACACTCAGAAACCAGCAGCGGTGTTCTGGAATCCTATGTCAAGGACAAACTGTCAGAGCCCAGCAGCAGTGTTTTGGGATCCTGTGTGAGTGAAAAAGATTCAGAATTTCATAGCAGTGTTCTGGAATCCCATGTGAGGGAAAAACCCTGAGAACCCAGTGGCAGTATTCTGGAATAGTATGTGAGGGACAAACACTCAGAACCCAGCCACTGTTTTCTCGAATCCTATCTGAGAGACAAACATTCAGACACTCGCAGAAGTGTTCTGTAATCCTACGTGAAGGAAAAATAGGCAGTAACCAGTAACAGTGCTCTGGAATCCTTTGTGAGGGAAAAACATTCAGACCCTCGTAACAGTGTTCTGGAATCCTATGTGACGGAAAACCTCTCAACACCCAGCAGCTGTGTTCTGGAATCCTATTTGAGGGACAAACACTCAAACCCCAGCCACTGTGTTCTGGAATACTATCTGAGGGACAAACATTCAGACACTCATAGAAATTTTGTGGAATCCTATGTGAGGGCAAACACTCAGAAACCAGTAGCAGTGCTCTGGAGTTCTTTGTGAGGGACAAACATAAAGAACCCAGCGCAGTGTTCTGGAATCCTTTCAGAGAGAAAACATTAAGACTCTCGAAAGAATGTTCTGGAATCCTATATGAGGGAGAAACACTCAGAATCCAGCAGTAGAGTTTTGGAATCCTGTGTGAGGGACAAGTATTCAGAATTTCGTGGAAGTGTTCACGAATCAGATGTGAGGGACAAACACTCAGAACCCAGCAGCAGTGTTCTGGAATCCTAAGTGAGTGACACTCAGAACCCAGCAGCAGTGTTCTAGAATCCTTTGTGAGGAACAAACACTCACACACTCGAAGCAGTGCTCTGTAATCCTATGTGAGGGACAAAGAATCAGAACCCAGCAGCAGTGTTCTGGAATCCTTTGTGATGAACAAACATTTAGACCCTCATAACAGTTTTCTGGGATCCCATGAGAGGGACAAACACTCAGAACCCAGTTGCAGTGTTCTGGAATCCTATGTGAGGTACAAACTCTCAGAAACCAGCAGCAGTGTTCTGGAATCCTACTTGAGAGACAAACACTCATAACCCAGCAGTAGTGTTCTTGAATTGTACCTGAGGTACAGACACACAGAACACAGCAGCAGTGTTCTGGAGTCTAATGTGAGGGACAAACATTCCAAACCCTGCAGGAGTGTTTTGGAATCCTGTGTGAGGGACAAAAAACGGAACACAGAAGCAGTGTTCTGGAATCCTATGTGAGTGACAAACATTCAGAACTTCGTAGCAGTGTTCTGGAATCTTATGTGAGGGACAAACACTCAAAACCCAGCTACTGTGTTCTGGAATCCTATCTGAGGGACAAACATTTAGAAACTCGTAGGAGTGTTCTGAAATTCTATGTGAGGGAGAAACACTCAGAAACCAGCAGCAGAGCTCTGGAGTCCTCAGTGAGGGACAAACAAACAGAAAACAGCAGCAGTGTTCTGGAATCCTTTCTGAGAAAAAAACTTTAAGTCCCTCATAAAATTGTTCTGGAATCCTATGTGAGGGACAAACACTCAGAACCCAGCAGTAGTGTTTTGGAATCCTGTGAGAACAACAAATATTCAGAACTTCGCAGCAGTGTTCACGAATATCATGTGAGAGACAAACCCTCAGAACCCAGCAGCAGTGTTCTGGAATCCTAAGTGAGTGACAAACACTAAGAGCCCAGCAGCAGTGTTCTACAATACTTTGTGAGGGATATTCAGACACTCGAAACAGTGTTCTGGAATCCTATGTGAGGGACACACACTCAGTTACCAGCAGCAGTGTTCTGGAATCCTTTGTGAAGGAAAAAGATTTAGACCCTCGTAGCAGTGTTCTGGGATCCTATGTGAGGGACAAACACTCAGAACCCATTAGCAGTGTTCTGGAATCCTATGAGAGGGACAAACACTCAGAAACCAGTAACAGTGTTTTGGAATCCTATGTGAGGGACAAACACTCAGAACCCATTAGCAGTGTTCTGGAATCCTATGAGAGGGACAAACACTCAGAACCCAGTAGCAGTGTTTTGGAATCCTATGTGAGGGACAAACACTCAGAACACAGGAACAGTGTTCTGGAATTCTATGTAAGGGATAGACACTCAGAAACCAGCAGCTGTGTTCTGGAATGGTATGTGAGGGACAAACACTCCGAATCCAGCAGCAGTGTTCTGGAATCCTATGTGTACGAGACACATTCAGAACTTCGTAGCTGTGTTCTGGAATCCTATGTAAGGGACAAACCCTGAGAACCAAACCATTGTTTTCTGGATTCCAATCTGAGAGATAAACATTTAGACACTCTTAGAATTATTCTGGAATCCTATGTGAGGGACAAACACTCAGAAACCAACAGCAGTACTGTGGAATCCTTTGTGAGGGACAAACAGAGAGATCCCAACAGTAGTGTTCTGGAATCCTTTCTGAGGCAAAAACATTCAGACACTTGTAGCAGTGTTCTGGAATCCTATGTGAGGGACAAACACTCAGAACCCAGCAGCAGTGTCCTGGAATCCTATGTGCGGTAAAAACACTCAGAACCCAGCAGCAGTGCTTTGGAATCCTGTGTGAGCGACAAGGACTCAGGAATTCATAGCATTGTTCTGGAATTCCATGTAAGAGGCACACACTGAGAACCCAGCAGCACTGTTCTGGAATCCTATGTGAGGGACAAAAACTCAGAACCCAGCAGCAGCGTTCTGGAATCCTATGTGAAGGACAAATAATCAGAACCTAGCCACTGTGTTCTGGAAACCTCTCTGAGGGACAAACATTCAGACATTCATAGAAGTGTTCTGGAATCCTCTGTGGGGGAAAAACATGCAGAAACCAGCAGCTGTGCTCTGGAATCCTTCCTGAGGAAAAACAAACAAATGTAGCAGCAGTGTTCTGGAATCATATTTGAGGGAAAAACATTCAGACATTCGTAGCAGTGTACTGGAATCCTATGTGAGGTACACACACTCAGATCCCAGCAGCAGTGTTCTGGAATCATTTGTGATGGAAAAAGATTTAGACACTCGTAGCAGTGTCCTGGGATCCTGTGTGAGGGACAAACACTCAGAAACTGGTATCAGTGTTCTGGAACCCTATGTGAGGGACAAACATTCAGAACCCAGCGGCAGTGTTCTGGAATCCTATGTGAGGGACAAACACTCAGAACCCAGCAGCCGTGTTCTGGAATTCTATGTGAGGCACTAACACACAGAATCAAACAGCTGTGTTCTGGAATCGTATGTGAGGGACAAACACTGAGAACCCAACAGCAGTGCTCTGTAATCCTTTGGGAGGAACAAACAAACAGAAACCAGCAGCAGTGCTCTGGAATCCTATGGGAGGGTTAAACACTCAGAACCAAGCAGCAGTGTTCTGGAATCCTACGTGAGGGGCAAACACTAAGAATCCAGCCACTGTGCTCTGGAATCCTTTCGGAGGGACAAACATTCAGACAATCGCAGAAGTGTTCTGGAATCCTATGTGAGGGACAAACACTCAGAAACCATCAGCGGCGCTATGGAATCCTTTGTGAGGGACAAACAGAATCCAGCAGCCGTGTTCTGGAAACATTTGTGAGGGAAAAACATTCAGACACTCAAAGCAGTGTTCCGGAATCCCATGTGAGGGGCAAACACTCAGAACCCAGCAGCAGTGTTCTAGAATCTTTTGTGAGGGACAAACCTTCAGACACTCGAAGCAGTGTTCTGGAATCCTATGTGAAGGACCAACACTCAGAAACCAGCAGCAGTGCTCTGTAATCCTTTGTGCAGGGCAAACACACAGAACCCTGTAGCAGTGTTCTTGAATCCTATGTGAGGTACAAACTCTCAGAACCCAGGAGTAGTGTTGTGGAATCGATTGTGAGGGACAAACATTCAGAATCTTGTAACAGTGTTTTGGAATCCTATGTGAGGGACAAACACTGTGAACCCAGTAGCAGTGTTCTGGTATCCTATGTGAGGAACAAACACCCAGAACATAGCAGTCGTGTTCTGGAATCCTATGTGAGGGACACACACTCAGAATCCAGCAGCAGTGCTTTGTAATCCTTTGTGAGGAACTAACAAACAGATCCCACTAGCAGTGTTTTGGAATCCTATGTGAGGGACAAACCCTCAGAACCCAGCAGCAGTGTTCTGGAATCCTTTGTGAAGGACAAACATTCAGAAGCTCTTAGCAGTGTTCTGGAAACCTATGTGTGGGAAAAACTCTCTTAACCCTGCAACAGTGTTCTGGAATTCCTTGTGAGGAACAAACACTCAGCACCCAGCAGCCGTGTTCTGGAGTCTTATGTGAGTGACAAACACTCAGAACCCAGCAGCAGTGTTCTAGAATACTTTGTGAGGGACAAACATTCAGACACCCGAAGCAGTGTTCTGGAATCCTCTGTGAGGAACAAACACTAGGAACCCAGCAGCAGTGTTCTGGAATCCTATGTGTGGTGAAAACACTCAGAACCCTGCAGCAGTGATTTGGAATCCTGTGCAAGTGACAAAGATTCAGAACTTCGTAGCAGTGTTCTGCAATCCTATGTGAGGGACAAAGACTCAGAACTCAGCAGCAGTGTTCTGTAATCCTTTGTGAGGGACAAACACTCAGAACTCAGCAGCAGTGTCCTAGAATCCTAGGTGAGGGACAAACAGTCAGAACCCAACCACTGTGATCTGGAATCCTATCTTAGAGACAAACATTCAGACACTCATAGAAGTGTTCTGGAATCCTATGTGAGGGAAAAACATGTAGAACCCAGCAGCTGTGCTCTGGAATCCTTTGTGAGGAAAAACAAACAAAACCAGTAGCAGTGTTTAGGAATCATTTTTGAGGGAAAAACATTCGGACCCTCGTAGCTGTGTTCTGGAATCCTATGTGAGGGACAAACTCTCAGAACCCAACAGCAGTGTTCTGGAAACCTATGTAAGGGACAAACACTCAGAACACAGCAGCAGTGCTGTGGAATCCTTCATGAGGGAAAAACATTCAGAACCTGGTGGCAATGTTCTTTAATCCTATGAGAGGGACAAACACTCAGAATCCTACAGAAGTGTTCTCGAATCCTATGTGAGGGACAAACACATAGAACACTACAGCAGTGTTCTGGAATCCTATGTGAGCGACAAACATTAAGAACTTCGCAGCAATGCTCTGGAATCGTATATGAGGGACAAAGACTCAAAACCCAGCCTCTGTATTCTGGAATCCTATATGCGGGACAAACATTCAGACACTCGGAGAATTGTTCTGCAATCCTTCGTGAGGGACAAACACTGAGAAACTAGCACCAGTGCTCTGGAGTCCTTTGTGAGGGATAAACAAACAGAACCTAGCGGCAGTGTTCCGGAATGCTTTCTGAGAGAAAAACATTAAGACCCTCGTAACAGTGTTCTGGGATCCTATGTGAGGGACGAACACTCAGGACCCTGCAGCACTGTTTTGGAATCCTGTGTGAGCGACCAAGATTCAGAAATTCGTAGCAGTGTTCACGAATTCCATGTCAGGGACAAACACTCAGAACCCAGCTGCAGTGTTCTGGAATCCTTTGTGAGGGAAAAATATTCAGAACCTCGTAGCAGTGTTTTGGAATCCTACGTGAGTGACAAACACTCAGAAGCCTGCAACAGCGTTCTAGAATCTTTTGTGAGGGACAAACACTCAGAACCTCATAGCAGTGTTCTGTAATCCTATGTGAGGGACAAACACTCAAAATCCAGCCACTGTGTACTGGAATCCTGTGTGAGATCAAACATTCAGAAGCTCGTAGAATTGTTCTGCAATGCTATGTGAGGGCCAAACACTAAGAAATCTGCTGCAGTGCTCTGGAATCCTTTGTTAGGGAAAAACAAACAGAACCCAGTAGCAGTGCTCTACAGTCTTTTGTGAGGGAAAAACATTCAGACCCTAGTAGCAGTGTTCTGGAATCCTATGTGAGGGAAAAACATTCAGACCCTCGTAGCAGTGTCCTAGAATCCTATATGAGGGACAAACACTCAGAACCCAGCAGCAGTATTCTGAAATCCTTTGGGAGGGAAAAACATTCACACCATCGTAACAGTGTTTTGGAATCCTACGTGAGAGAAAAATATTCAGACTATCGTAGCGTTGTGCTGAAATCCAGTATAAGGAATAAACACTCAGAACCCAGTAGCAGTGTTCTGGAACCCTTTGTGATGGATAAACATTCTGACCCTCGTAGTAGTGTTCTGGAATCCTACGTGAGGGACAAACACTCAGAACCCAGCAGCACTGTTCTGGAATGCTATGTGAGGGACAAACACTCAGAACGCAGTAGCAGTGTTCCAGAATCCTATGTGAGCAACAAACTTTCAGAACTTCGTAGTAGTGTTCTGGAATCGTAAGTGAGGGACAAACGCTCAGAACCCAGCAGCAGAGTTCTGGAATCCCATGTGATGGACAAACACTCAGAACCCAGCAGCAGTGTTCTAGAATCTTTGTGAGGGACAAACATTCAGAATCTTGTAGCAGTGTTCTAGAATCCTATTTATGGGACAAACAGTCAGAATACAGCCACTGTGTACTGGAATTCTATCTGAGGGCAAACATTCAGAACCTTGTAGAAGTGTTCTGGAATCATATGTGAGGGACAAACACTTAGAAATCTCTAACAGTGCTCTGGAATCCTCTGAGGGACAAACCCACAGAACCCAGTAGCAGTGTTCTACAATCCTTGGTGAGGAAAAAACATTCAGACCCTCGTAGCAGTGTTCTGGAATCCTATCTGAGGGACAAACACACAGAACCCAGTAGCAGTGTTCTACAATCCTTGGTGAGGAAAAAACATTCAGACCCTCGTAGCAGTGTTCTGGAATCCTATCTGAGGGACAAACACTCAGTACCCAGCAGCAGTGTTCTGGAATCCTTTGGGAGGGAATAACATTCACACCGTCATAACAGTATTCTGGAATTCTGTGTGAGGGAAAAACATTCAGACCCTCGTAGCATTGCTCTGGAATCCCATATGAGGGACTAACACTCAGAACCCAGCAGCAATGTTCTGGAACCCTTTGTGAGGAAAAAACATTCAGACCCTCGTAGCAGTGTTCTAGAATCCTATGTGAGGGACAAACACTCAGAACCCAGCAGCAGTGTTCTGGAATCCTAAGTGAGGGAGAAGCACTCAGAATCCAGACACTGTGTACAGGACTCCTGCCTGAGGGGAAACATTCAGAACCTCTAGAAGTGTTCTGCAATCCTATGTGAGGGACAAACACTAAGAAATCTGCAGCAGTGTTCTGTAGTTTTTTTGTGAGGAAGAAACAAACAGAACCCAGAAAGAGTGTTCTACAATCCTTTCTGAGGGAAAAACATTCCGATCCTTGTAACAGTTTTCTGGAATCTTATATGAGGCACAAACTCTCAGAAGCCAGCAGCAGTGTTCTGGAATCCTTTGGGAGTGAAAAACATTCACACCCTCGTAACAGTGTTCTGGAATCCTGTGTGAGCAAAAAACATTCAGACCGTCGTAGCATTTTTCTGGAATCCAACATGAGGCAGAAACTCTCAGATCCCAGTAGCAGTGTTCTGGAAACCTTTGTGAGGGATAAACATTCAGACCCTCGTAGCCGTGTTCTGGAAACATATGTGAGGGACAAACACACACAACCCAGCAGCTGTGTTCTTGAATCTTATGTGAGGGACAAACACTCCTGACCCAGCAGCAGTGTTCTGGAATCCTAAGAGAGGGACGGACACTCAGAAAACAGCAACAGTGTTCAGGAATCATATGTGAGTGAAAAACACTCAGAATCCAGTAACTGCATACTGGAATTCTATCTGAGGGCAAATATTTAGAACCTCGTAGAAGTGTTCTGGAATCCTATGTGAGGGAAAAACATTCAGACCATCGTAGCAGTGTTCTGAAATCCTATATGAGGGACAAACACTCAGAACCCAGCATCAGTGTTCTGGAATACTTTGGAAGGGAAAACCTTTCACATCTTCCTAACAGTGTTCTGGAATCCTATGTGAGGGAAATACATTTAGAATCTCGTAGCATTGTTCTGGAATCCAATATGAGGGACAAACAATCAGAGCCCAGTAGCAGTGTTCTGGAACCCTTTGTGAGGGATAAACATTCAGAGCCTCGTAACAGCGTTCTGAAATCGTATGTGAGGGACAAACACTCAGAACCCAGGAGCAGTGTTTTGGAAAGCTATGTGAGTGACAAACTTTCAGAACTTCGTAGCAGTGTTCTGGAATTCTATGTGAGGAACAAACACTCAGAACGCAGCAACACTGTCCTGGAATCCTAAGTGAGGGACAAACACTCAGAACACAGCAGCAGTGTTCTGGAATCCTATCTGAGGGACAAACACTCAGAACCCAGAAGCAGTGTTCTAGAATCCTTTGTGAGGGACAAACACTCAGAACCCAGCAGCAGTGTTCTAGAATCCTTTGTGAGGGACAAACATTGAGAACCTTGTTGCACTGTTCTGGAATTCTACGTGAATGAGAAACACTCAGAATTCAGCCACTGTGTACTGGAATCATATCTGAGGGCAAACATTCAGACCCTTGTAGCAGTGTTCTGGAATCCTATGTGAGGGCAAACACTCAGAACCCAGCAGTAGTGTTCTGGAATCCCATGAGAGAGACAAACACTCAGAAACCAGCAGAAGTCTTCTGGATTCCTATGTGAGCGAAAACCTTTTAGATCTTCGTGGCATTGTTCTGGAATTCTATGTGAGGGACAAACACTCAGAACCCAGCAGCAATGTTCTGGAATCCTAGGTAAGAGACAAACGCTTAGAACTCAGCAGCAGTGTCCTGGAATCCTATGGGAGGGACAAACACTCAGAACCCAGTAGCAGTGTTGTAGAATCCTTTGTGAGGGACAAACATTCATAACCTTGTAGCAGTGTTCTGGAATCCTATGTGAGGGAGAAACACTCAGAATCCAGCCACTGTGTACTGGAATCCTATCTGAGGACAAACATTCAGAACTTCGTAGAAGTGTTCTGGAATCCTATGTGAGGGAGAAACACTAAGAAACCTGCAGCAGTAGTCTGGAATCCTTTGTGAGGGACAAATAAACAGAACCCAGTAGCAGTGTTCTAAAATCCCTTGTGAGGGAAAAATATTCAGACCTTCGTAGCAGTGTTCTGGAATCCTATGTGAGGGAAAAACATTTAGACCCTCGTAGCAGAGTCCTGGAATCCTATATGAGGGACAAACACTCAGAACCCAGCAGCAGTGTTCTGGAATTCTTTGGGAGGGAAAAATATTGACACCCTCATAACAGTGTTCTGGAATCCTATGTGAGAGAAAAACATTCAAACCCTCATAGCATTATTCTGGAATCCAATATGAGGGACAAACAGTCAGAAAGCAATAACAGAGTTTTGGAACCCTTTGTGAGGGATAAACGTTCAGACCCTCGAAGCAGTGTGCTGGAATCCTATGTGAGGGGCAAACACTTGGAATCCAGCAGCAGTGTTCTGGAATCCTTTCTGAGGGACAAGAACTCTGAACCCAGCAGAAGTGTTCTGGAATCCTATGTGAGGGAAAAACATTCAAACCCTCTTAGCATTGTTCTGGAATCCAATATGAGGGACAAACAGTCAGAACGCAATAACAGTGTTTCGGAACCCTTTGTGAGGGATAAATATTCAGCCCCTCGAAGCAGTGTGCTGGAATCCTATGTGAGGGACAAACACTCAGAACCCAACAGCAGTGTTCTGGAATCCTTTGGGAGGGAAAAACATTTACAGCCTCGTAACAGTGTTCTGGAATCCTATGTGAGGGAAAAACATTCAGACTCTCATAGCATTTTTATGTAATCCAATATGAGGGACAGAGACTGAGACCCAGCAGTAGTGTTTTGGAATCCTGTGTGAGGGACAAACCCTCAGAAACCAGCAGCAGTGTTCTAGAATCCTATGTGAGTGACAAACAGTCTGAACCCAGAAGCAGTGTTCTGGAATCCTATGTGAGGGACAAACACTCAGAATCCAGCAGCAGTGTTCTGGAATCCTATGTGAGGGACAAACACTCAGAATCCAGCAGCAGTGTTCTGGAATCCTATGTGAGGGACAAACACTCAGAATCCAGCAGCAGTGTTCTGGAATCCTTTCTGAGGGACAAGAACTCTGAACCCAGCAGAAGTGTTCTGGAATCCTATGTGAGGGAAAAACATTCAAACCCTCTTAGCATTGTTCTGGAATCCAATATGAGGGACAAACAGTCAGAACGCAATAACAGTGTTTCGGAACCCTTTGTGAGGGATAAATATTCAGCCCCTCGAAGCAGTGTGCTGGAATCCTATGTGAGGGACAAACACTCAGAACCCAACAGCAGTGTTCTGGAATCCTTTGGGAAGGAAAAACATTTACAGCCTCGTAACAGTGTTCTGGAATCCTATGTGAGGGAAAAACATTCAGACTCTCATAGCATTTTTCTGTAATCCAATATGAGGGACAGAGACTGAGACCCAGCAGTAGTGTTTTGGAATCCTGTGTGAGGGACAAACCCTCAGAAACCAGCAGCAGTGTTCTAGAATCCTATGTGAGTGACAAACAGTCTGAACCCAGAAGCAGTGTTCTGGAATCCTATGTGAGGGACAAACACTCAGAATCCAGCAGCAGTGTTCTGGAATCCTATGTGAGGGACAAACACTCAGAATCCAGCAGCAGTGTTCTGGAATCCCTTCTGAGGGACAAGCACTCCGAACCCAGCAGAAGTGTTCTAGAATCCTCTGTGAGGAAAAAGCATTCAGAAGCTCATAGCAGTGTTGTGGAATCGTTTTTGAGAGACAAACACTCAGAACGCGGCAGCAGTGTTCTGGAATCCTTTGTGTCAGACAAACATTCAGACAGTTGTGGCAGTGTTCTGGTATCCTATGTGAGGGACAAACACTCAGATCCAGCAGCATTGTTCCTGAATCCTTTTTGATGGACAAACATTCAGATCCCCCTGCAGTTTTCTGGAATCCTATGTGAGGGACAAACACTCAGAACCCAGCAGCAGTGTTCTGGAATCGTATGTGAGGGACAAACTCTCAGAACCCAGCAGCCGTGTTCTGGAATCCTATGTGAGAGACAAACTCTTAGAACCCAGGGGCAGTGTTCTAGAGTCCTTTGTATGGGACAAACATTCAGAAACTCTCAGCAGTGTTCTGGAAGCGTAAGTGAAGGACAAACACTCTGAACCCAGCAGAAGTGTTTTGGAATCCCTTGTGAGGCACAAACACTCAGAACCCAGCAGCAGTGTTCTGGAATTCTATGTGAGTGACAAACACTCAGAACCCAGCAGCACTGTTCTAGATTCCTTTGTGAGGGACAAATCTTCAGACCCTCGAAACAGTGTTCTGAAATCCTATGTGAGGGAACAACACTCAGAACCCAGCCACTGTGTGCTGGAATCCTGTCTGAGGGACAAACATTCAAACACTCGTAGAAGTGTTCTGGAATCTTATGTGAGTGATAAGCAATCAGAAACCAGCAGCGGTGCTCTGTAATCCTTTGTGAGGGACAAACAAACAGTACACAGGAGCAGAGTTCTGGAGTTCTATGTGAGGGACAAACTCTCATGACCCAGCAGCAGTGTTCTGGAATCCCTTGTGAGGGCCAAACACTCAGAACCTAGTAGCAGTGTTCTGGAATCTTATGTGATGGAAAAACACTCTGAACCCAGCAGCAGTGTTCTGGAATCCTATATGAGGGAGAAAAACTCAGAACCTGCAGCAGTGTTCTGGAATCCTTAGTGAGGGAGAAACATTCAGAACCTCATATCAGTGTTATGGAATCGTATGTGAGGGACAAACACTCTGAAACCAGCAGCAGTGTTCTGGAATCCCATGTGAGAGACAAACACTGAGAATCCAGCAGCAGTGTTCTGGAATCCTATGTGTGTGAGAAACACCCAGAAACCAGCAGCGTAGTACTGGAATCCTTTGTTAGGGGCTAACATTCAGAACCTAGAAGCTGTGTTCTGGAATCCTATGTGAGGGACAAACACTCCTATCCCAGTAGCAATGTTCTGCAATTCTTTGTGACGGACAAATATTCAGACCCTCGTAGCAGTTTTCAGGAATCCTAGGTGAGAGACAAACACTCAGAACCCAGCAGAAATGTTCTGGGATCCTATGTGAGGGGCAAATACTTGGAATCCAGCAGCACTGTTCTTGAAACCTATGTGAGGGACAAACACTCACAACGCAGCCACTGTGTACCAGAATCCTATTTGAGTGTCAAACCTTCAGACCCTAGTAGAAGTGTTCTGGAATCCTATGTGAAGGACAAACTCTAAATAACCAGCAGCAGTGCTCTGGAATCCTTTGGGAGAGAAAAACACTCAGACCCCCCTAGCAGTGTTCTGGGATCCTATGTGAGGGAAAAACATTCAGACCCGCATAGCAGTGTTCTGGAATCCTATATGAGTGACAAACACTCAGAACCCACCAGCAGTGTTCTGAATCTTTTGTGAGGTAAAAACACTCAGACCCTCAAAGCAGTGTTCTGGAATCCTGCGTGATGGAAAAACATTCAGACCTTCGTAGCTGTGTTCTGGAATCCTATGTGAGGGAGAAACATTCAGTCCCTCAATAGCATTGTTCTGGAATCCAATATGAGGGACAAACACTCAGAAGCCAGCAGCTGTATTCTGGAATGCCATGTGAGGGAAAAAGACTCAGAACCCAACAGCAGTGTTCTGGAATCCTGTCTGAGGAATAACCCCTGGGAACCCAGACACTGTGTACTGGAATCTTATATTAGGGACACATATTCAGACACTCGTAGAAGTGTTCTGGAATACTATGTGAGGGACAAACACTAAGAAAACAGCAGCAGGGCTTTGGAATCCTTTGTGAGGGACAAAAAAACAGAACCCATCAGCAGTGTTCTGGAATAATTGTGAGGGAAAAACATTCAGGTCCTAGTAACAGTGTTCTGGAATCCTATGTGAGGTAAAAACATTCAGACCCTCATAGCAGTGGTCTGGAATCGTATGTGAGAGACAAACCCTCACAACCCAGCAGCAGTGTTCTGCAATCCTATGTGAGCGACGAACATTGAGAACTTCGTAGCAGTGTTCTGATATTCTATGTGAGAGCAAACACTCACAACCCAGCAGCACTGCTCTGGAATCGTATGTGAGGGACAACAACTCAGAACCCAGCAGCCGTGTTCTGGAAACCTACGTGAGGGACAAAATCTCAGAGCTCAGCAGCAGTGTTCTGCAATCCTATGTGAGTGACAAATACTCAGAACCCAGCAGCAGTGTTCTGGAATCTTTGTGAGGGACAAACACTAGAACCCAGCAGCAGTGTTCTAGAGTCCTTTGTGAGGGACAAACATTCAGAAACTCTCTTCAGTGTTCTGGAATCTTAGGTGAGGGACAAACACACTGAACCCAGCAGCATTGTTTTGGAATCCCATGTGAGGCAGAAACACTCAGAACTCAGCAGCAGTGTTCTGGAATCCTATGTGAGTGAAAAACACTCAGAACCCAGCAGCAGTGTTCTAGAATCCTTTGTGGGCAAAAAACCTTCAGACCCTAGAATCAGTGTTCTGGAATCCTATGTGATGAACAAACACTCAGAACCCAGCAGCAGTGTTTTTGATTCCTTTGTTTTGGAGAAACATTCAGACCATTGTAGCACTGTTCCACTATCCTATGTGAGGGACAAACTCTCAGAACCCAGTAGCAGTGCTCTAGAATCCTATGTGAGGGACAAACACTCAGAACCCAGCAGCAGGGTTCTGGAATCCTATGTGAGGGTCAAACACTCAGAAGGCAGCAGCAGTGTTCTGGAATCCTATGTGAGGGAGAAACACTCAGAACCCAGTCACTGTGTGCTGGAATCCTATGTGAGGGAGAAACATTCAGAACCCAGTCACTGTGTGCTGGAATCCTATCTCAAGGACAAACATTCAGACCATTGTAGCACTGTTCCGCTATCCTATGTGAGGGACAAACTCTCAGAACCCAGTAGCAGTGCTCTAGAATCCTATGTGAGGGACAAACACTCAGAACCCAGCAGCAGGGCTCTGGAATCCTATGTGAGGGTCAAACACTCAGAAGGCAGCAGCAGTATTCTGGAATCCTATGTGAGGGAGAAACATTCAGAACCCAGTCACTGTGTGCTGGAATCCTATGTGAGGGAGAAACACTCACAACTCAGTCACTGTGTGCTGGAATCCTATCTGAGGGACAAACATTCAGACATGTGTAGAAGTGTCCTGGAATCCTATGTGAGGGACAAACACTGAGAACCCAGCAGCAGAGTTCTAGAATTCTTTGTGAAGACAAACATTCAGACACTCGAAGCAGTGTCCTAGAATCCTATGTGAGGGACAAACACTTAGAACCCAGCAGAATTGTTCTGGAATCCTTTGTGATGGACAAACATTCAGGCCCTCGTGGCAGTGTTCTGGAAACCTAAGTGAGGGGCAAACACTCAGAATTCAGCAGCAGTGTTCTGGAATCCTATGTGACTGACAAACACTCAGAACCCTGAAGCAATGTTATGAAATCCTGTGTGAGGTGCAAACACTCAGAACCCACCATCAATGCTCTGCAATCCTATGTGAGGAAGAAACACTCAGAAACCTGCAGCAGTGTTCTGGAATCCTATATATGGGTCAATAATTCAGACCATCATAGCACTGTTCTGGAATGCTCTGTGAGGGACAAACATTCAGAAACTTGTAGCAGAGTTCTGGAATCCTATGTGAGGGAGAAACCCTCAGAACCTAGCAGTAGTGTTCTGGAATCATATGTGAGGGACTAACACTCAGAACCCAGCCGCAGTGTTCTGGAATGCTATGTGAGGGACAAACACTCAAAACCAAGCAGCAGAGTTCTGTTATCCTATATGAGACAAACACTCGGAACCCAGCAGAACTGTTATGGAATCCTATGTGAGGGACAAACACTCACAAACAAGCAGCTTTTTACTGGAATCCTATGTGAGGGAGAAATCTTCAGAACCTAGCAGCAGTGTTCTGGAATCGTATGTGTGGGACTGACACTCAGAACCCAGCAGCATGTTGAGGAATGCTATGTGAGGGAGAAACACACAAAACCCACCAGCAGTGTTCTGGTTTAATATATGCGGGACAAACACACAGAACCCAGCAGAAGTGTTCTGTAATCCCATGTGAGAGACAAACACTCACAAACCAGCAGCAATGTTTTGGAATCCTTTGTGAGGGACAAACATTCAAAACCTCGTAGAAGTGCTCTGCAATCCTATGTGAGGGACAACACTCTGAACCCAGCAGCAATGTTTTCGAATCCCATGAAAGGGACAAACACTCAGAACTCGGCAGCATTTTTCTGGAATCCTATGTGAGTGACAAACTCTCAGAACACAGCAGCGGTGTTCTAGAATCCTTTGTGGGGGACAAACATTCAGATGATCATAGCAGTGTTCTGGTATCTCATGTGAGGGACAAACACTCGGAAACCAGCAGCAGTGCTCTGGATTCCTTTTTGGGGGACAAACAAACCGAGAAGGAGGGTTCTGGAATCCTACATAAGGGATAAACACTGAGAACCCAGGAGCAGCGTTCTGGAATCCCATGTGAGGGACAAACGCTCAGAACCCAACAGCAGTGTTCTGAAATCCTAATTGAGGGACAGACACTCACAACCCAGCAGCATTGTTCTAGATTCCTTTGTGAGGAACAAACATTCAGACCCTCGAAGCAGTGTTCTGGAATGTTATGTGAGGGACAAACCCTCTGAACCCAGCAGCAGGGTTCTGGAATCCGAAGTGAGTGACAAACACTCAAAACCCAGCAGCAGTGTTCCGGAATCCTTTGTGAGGGACAAGCTTTCAAACCCTCGAAGCATTGTTATGGAATCCTATGTGAGGAACACACACTCAGAATCCAGTAGCAGCGTTCTCGAATCCTTTGTGATGGACAAACATCCAGACACTCTTAGCAGTGTTCTGGAACGCTATGTGATGGACAAACCTACAGAACCCAGGAGCAGTGTTCTGGAATCCTCTGTGAGGGACAAACACTCAGAACCCAGTAGTAGTGTTCTGGAATCTAATGTGAGGGACAAACACTAAGAACCCAGGAGCAGTGTTCTGCAATCCTATATGAGGGACAAACACTACTAACCCTGTAGCAGTGTTCTAGAATCCTTTGTGAGGGAAAAACATTCAGACCATCGAATCAGTGTTCTGGAATCCTATGTGGGGAACAAACGCTCAGAACCCAGCAGCAGTTTTCTGGAATCTTTTCAGACAGACAAACCTTTAGACGATCTTAGCAGTGTTCTGTTATCCTATGTAAGGGACAAACACTCAGAACCCAGCAGCAGTGCTCTGGATTCCTTTGTGGGGGACGAGCACTTAGAACCCAGGAGCAGTGTTCTGGAATCCTATGTGAGGGACAAACACTCAGAATCCAGCAGCAGTGTTCTGGAATCTTAAGTGAGGGACAGACACTCACAACCCAGCAGCAGTGTTCTAGAATCCTTTGTGAGGGACAAACATCCAGACCCTGGAAGCAGTGTTCTGGAATCCTATGTGAGGAGCAAACACTCAGAACACAGCATCAGTGTTCTGGAATCCTATGTGAGTGACAAACTCTCAGAACCCAGGAGCAGTGTTCTATAATCCATTGTGAGGGACAAACATTCAAACTCTCGAAGCATTTTTCTGGATTCCTATGTGAGGGACACACACTCAGAACCCAGCAACAGTGTTCTGGAATCCTATGTGTGGGACAAACACTCAGAAACCAGCAGCAGTGTTCTGGAATCCTACGTGAGGGACAAACACTCAGAACACAGCCTCTGTGTACTGGAATCTATCTGAGTGACAACATTCAGACTCTTGCAGAAGTGTTCTGGAATCCTATGTGATGGACAAACACTAACAAACTAGCAGCAGCGCTCTGGAATTCTTTGTGATGGACAATCATTCAGAGACTCGTAGCAGTGTTCTGGAATCGTATGTGAGGTACAAACACTCAAAACTCAGCAGCAGTGTTCTGGAATTCTATTTGAGGGACAAACTCTCAGAACCCAGCAGCCATGCTGTGAAATGATATGTGAGGGACAGACACTCAGAACCCAACAGCAGAGTTCTGGTATCCTAAGTGAGGAACAAACACTCAGAACCCTGCAGAAGTATTCTGGAATCGTATGTGAGGGACAAACACTCAAAATCCAGAAGCAGTGTTCTGGAATCCTATGTGAGGGACAAACACTCACACCCTCAGAGGAGTGTTCTGGAATCCTATGTGAAGGACAAACACTCAGAACCCAGTAGCAGTGTTCTGGAATCTGGTGTGAAGGACAAGCGTTCAGACACTCGTAGCAGTGATATGGAGTTCTTTGTGAGGGACAAACATTCAGACACACTTAGCAGTGTTCTGGAATCCTAAGTGAGAGAGAAACCCTCAAAAACAAGCTGCAGTGTTCTAGAAATCTATGTGAGGGACAATCCCTCAGTATCGAGCGGCAGTGTTTTGGAATCCTATCTGAGGGACAAACACTCAGAACTCAGCAGCAGTGTTCTGGAATCCTGTGTGAAGGAGAAACACTCAGAACCCAACAGCAGTGTTCTGATTCCCGAAGTGTGGGACAATCACTCAAAACCCAGCCACTGTGTTCTGGAATCCTATCTGAGGGTCAAATATTGGGAACCTCGGGGAAGAGTTCTGGAATCCTATGTGAGGGAAAAACACTCAGAAACCAGCAGAAGTGTTCTGGAATCCTTTGTGAGGGACAAACACTGAGAAATCAAGAGCCGTGTTCTGGCATCCTATGTAAGCGACAAACACTCTGAACCCAGCAGCAGTGTTTTTGAATCCCACGTGAGCGACAAACACTCAGAACCCAAAAGCAGTGTTCTGGAATACTTTTTGAGGGACAATCATTCAGAACCTTGTAGCTGTGTTCTGGAATCATATGTGAGGGCCGAACACTTTGAACCCAACTGCAGTGTTTTTGATTCCCCTGTGAAGGAAAAACACTCAGAACCCAGCAGCAGTGTTCTAGAATCCTTTGTGTGGGACTAACATTCAGACCCTCCAAGCAGTGTTTTGGGTCTATGTGAGGGACAAACACTGAGAACCCAGCTGCAGTATTCTGCAATCCTTTGTGACGGAGAAACACTCAGACCATCGTAGCAGTGTTCTGGCATCCTATGTGCGGGAAAAACACTCAGAAACCAGCATCAGTGCTCTGGATTCCTTTGTGAGGGACAAACAAACAGAACCCAGCAGCAGAGTTCTGGAATCCTATGTTGGGGACAAACACTCAGAACCCATCAGCAGTGGTCAGAAATAATTTGTGAGGGACAAACATTCAGAACCTAGTAGCAGTGTTCTGGAATAGTATGTGAGGGACAAACACTCTGAACCCAGTGGCAGTCTTTTGGAATCACACGTGAGGGACAAAAACTCAGAACCAAGCAGCAATGTTCTGGAATACCATGTGAGAGACAAACACTCAGAACCCAGCAGCAGTGTTCTGGAATCTTATTTGAGTGACAAACACTGAGAACCCGGCAGCAGTGTTCTAGAGTCCTTTATGAGAGACAAACTTTCAGACCCACGCAGTCTTCTGGAATCCTATGTGAGAGACAAACCCTCAGAACCCAGAAGCAATGTTCTGCAATCCTTTTTGTTGGACAAACATTCAGACCCTCGTAGCAGTGTTCCAGAATCCTATGTGAGGAACAAACACTCAGAACCCAGCAGTAGTGTTCGGGAATCCTATGGGAGGGACAACCATTCCGAATCCAGCAGCAGTGTTGTGTAATCCTATGTGAGGGACAAACACTCAGAACCCAGCAGCTGTGTTCTGGTAACCTATGTGAGGGAAAATCACTTAGAACCCAGTCATTGTGTTCTGGAATCCTATCTGAGGGAGAAATATTCAAACACTCGTAGAAGAGTTCTGGAATCCTATGTGAGGGAAAAACCCTCAGAAGCCAGCAGCAGTGCTCTGGAATCCTTTGTGAGGGGCAAACAATCAGAACCCAGAAGCAGTGTTCTTGAATCTTTCGTGAGGGAAAAACATTCAGACCCTCGTAATAGTATTTTGGAATCCTATCTGAGGGACAAACACTCGGAACCCAGCAGCTGTGTTCTGGAATCCTATGTGTGGGACAAACACTTAGAACCCAGCACAATATTCTGGAATACTACGTGAGCGACAAACTTTCAGAAGTTTGTAGCAGTGTTCTGGAATTCTATGTGAGGGACAAACACTGAGAACCCAGCAGCAGTGTTCTGGATTCCTAAGTGAGGGACAAACATTCAGAACCCAGCAGCAGTGTTCTGGTATCCTATGTGAGGGACAAACACTCAGAACCCAGCAGCAGTGTTCTACAATCCTTTGTGAGGAAAAAATATTCAGACCCTCATAGCAGTGTTCTGGAATCCTATGTGATAGAAAAACATTCATACCCTCATAGCAGTGTTCTGGGATCCTATATGAGGGACAAACACACAGAACCCACCAGCAGCGCTCGGGAAACCACACTCTCCTAATAGTGTTCTTGAATCCCATGTGAGGGAGAAACCTTCATACCCTCGTAGCATTGTTCTGGAATCCAATATGAGGGACAAACACTCAGAACCCAGTAGCAGTGTTCTGGAACCTTTATTGAGGGATAAACATTCAGACCGTCATAGCAGTGTGCTGGAATCCTATGTGAGGGACAAATGCTCCGAACCCAGCAGCAGTGGTTTGGAGTCCTATGTGAGGGACAAACACTCTGAGCCCAGCAGCAGTGTTCTGGAATCCTCTGTGAGGGACAAACTTTCACAACTTCGTAGCAGTGTTCTGGAATTCTACGTGAGGTACAAACACTCAGAACCCAGCAGCAGTGTTCTGGAATCCTTTGTGAGGAACAAACATTCGGAACCTCATAGCAATGTTCAGGAATCGTACGTAAGGGACAAACACTCAGAACACAGCAGCAGTGTTCTGCAATCCCATATGAGGGACAAACACTCAGAACCCAGCTGCAATGTTCTGTAATCCTGTTTGAGCGACAAAGACTCAGAAACCAGCAGCACTGTTCAAGAATCCTTTTTGTGTGACAAACATTCTGAACCTCAAAGCAGTGTTCTGGAATCCTACGTGAGGGACAAACACCACAATCCCTGCAGCAGTTTTCTGGAATCCTTTGTGATGGACAAACATTCAGACCCTCGTAGCAGTTTTTCAGAATCCTATGTGTGGGACAAACACTCAGAACACAGCAACAGTGGTCTAGAATCCTTTGTGTGGGACAAAGATTCAGAACCCAGCAGCAGTGTTCTGGAATCCTATGTGAGGTACAAACACTCAGAAACAGTGGCTGTGTACTGGATTCCACTGTGTACTGGAATCCTATCTGAAGGAAAAACATTCCGAACTTCGTAGAAGTTTTCTGGAATCCTGTGTGACGGACAAACACTAAGAAATCTGCAGCAGTGTTCTAGAATCCTTTCTGAGTGACAAACAAACAGAACGCAGGAGCAGTGTGCTGCTATCCTTTTGAGGGAAAAACTTTCACATCCTTATAGCAGTGTTCTGGAAACCTATGTGAGGGAAAGAAATTCAGACCCTCGTAGCAGTGCTCTGGAATCCTATATGAGGGACAAACACTCAGAACCCAGCAGCAGTCTTCTGGAATCCTTTGGGAGGGAAAAACATTCACACCCTCGTAAAAGTGTTCTGGAATCCTATGTGAAGGAAAAACATTCAGACCCTCGTAGCATTGTTCTGGAATCTAATATGAGGGACAAACAGTCAGAACCCAGTTGCAGTGTTCTGGAATACTATGTGAGTGACAACACTCAGAACCCAGGAACTGGGTTCTGGAATTGTCTGTGCGGGCCAGTCATTCAGAACCTCGTGGCAGTGTTCTGGAATCCTATGTGAGGGAAAAACACTGTGATCTCAGCAGCAGTGTTCTGGAATCCTATGTGAGGGCGAAACACTCTGATCCCAGCAGTCGTGTTCTGGAATCCCATGTGAGAGACAAACACTGAGATCCTAGCAGCCCTGTTCTGGAATCCTATGTGAGGTACAAACTCTCAGAACCCAGCAGCAGTGTTATGGAATCCTTTGTGAGAGACAAACATTCAGACCCTCGTAGCAGTGTTCTGGAATCTTATGTGAGGCACAAACACTCACAACCCAGTAGCAGTGTTCTGGATTCCTATGTAGGGGAGAAACACTCAGAACCCAACAGCAGTGTTCTGGAATCCTTTGTGATGGACATACATTCAGACCCTCGTAGGAGTGTTCTGGAATCCTACGTAAGGGACAAACACTCAGAACTCAGTATTAGTGTTCTTGAAAGCTAAGTGAGGTACAAACACTCAGAAACCAGCAGCAGTGTTCTGGAATCCTTGGTGAGGGACTAACACTCAGAACCCAACAGCAGTGTTCTGGAATTATATGTGAAACAAAGACTCAGAACTCAGAAGCAGTGTTCTGGAATCGTATGTGAGGAACAAGCAATCAGAACCCAGCAGCAGCATTATGGAATCCTATGTGAGGGACAAACACTCAAACCCAGCCACTGTGTTCTGGAAACCTATCTGAGTGACAAACATTCAGACACTCGTGGAAGTGTTCTGGAATCCTACGTGAGAGACGCTCAGAAACCAGCATAGGTGTTCTGGAATCCTTTTTGTGGGAGAAACAAACAGAACCCAGCAGCAGTCTTCTGGAATCCTATGTGAGGGAAAAATATTTAGAACCCCGTAGCAGTGTTCTGGAATTCTATGTGAGGGACAAACACACAGGACCCAGCAGCAGTGTTCTGGAACCTTATGTGATGGACAAACACTGAGAACACAACAGCAGTGTTCTGAAATCACATGTCAGCGAAAAACATTCAGAAATTCGTAGCAGTGTTCTGGAATCCTTTGTGACAGACAACACTCAGACTGTCGTAGCAGTGTTCTGATTTCCCATGTGAGGGACAAACACCCAGAAGCCAGCAGCAGTGTCCTAGAATCCTCCGTGAGGGACAAACACACAGAACCAAGCAGCAGGGTTCTGGAATCCTATGTGAGGGACAAACACTCGGAACCCCGCCACTGTGTTCTTGAATCCTAACTGAGGGGCAAACATTCAGACACTGGTAGAAGTGTTCTGGAATCCTATGTGAGGGATAAACACTCAGAAACCAGCAGCAGTATTCTGGAATCCTTTATGAGGGAAAAACATTCAGAACCTCATAGCAGTGTTCTTTAATCCTGTGTGAGGGACAAACCGTCTGAACTGAGCAGCAGTGTTCTGCAATCACTCTTGAGAGACAAACACTCTGAACCCAGCAGCAGTGTTCTGAAATCCTAAATGAGGAACAAACCCTCAGAACCCAGCAGCAGTGTTCTAGAATCCTTTGTGGGGTACAAACATTCAGAACCTCGAAGCAGTGTTCTGGAATCCTATTTGAGGGACAAACTCACAGAACCCAGCAGCAGTATTCTGGAATCCCAAGTGAGGGACAAACACTCAGAAACCAGCAGCAGTGTGCTGGAATGCTTTTTGAGGGACAAACATTCAGACCTTCGAAGCAGTGTTCTGCAATCCTATGTGATTGACAACTCTCAGAACCTAGGAGCAATCTTCTGTAATCTGTTGTGATGGAGAAACATTCGGAACCTCTTCGCAGTGTTCTGGAATCCTAGGTGTGGGAGAAACACTCAGAATCCAGCAGCAGTGTTGTAGAATCCTCTGTGAGGGAGAAACACTCAGAACTCAGCAGTAGTGTTCTGGAATCCTATGTGATGGACAAACACTCAGATCACTGCAGCAGGGGTCTGAAATCCTATGTGAAGGATAAGCACTCAGAACCCAGCAGCAGCGTTCTGGAATCCTTTCTGAGGGACAAACATTCAGAACCTCGTAGCAGTGTTCTGGAATCTTATGTGAGGGACAAACACTCAGAACCCAGCAGCATTGTTCTGGAATCTTAGATGTGGGACAAACACTCAGAACCAGGCAGTAACGTTCTGGAATCCCATGTGAGGGACAAACACTCAGAACCCAACAGCAGTATTCTGGAATCCTATGTGAGTGACAAACACTCAGAATCCAGCAGCAGTGTTCTAGAATTCTTTGTGTGGGACAAGCATTCATGCCCTCAAAGCAGTGCTCTGGAATCCTATGTGAGGGAGGAACAGTCACAACCCAGCAGCAGTGTTCAGGAATCCTTTGTGATGGACAAACATTCAGACCGTCGGAGCAGTGTTCTGGAATCCTAAGTGAGGGACAAACACTCAGAACCAAGCCACTGTGTTCTGGAATCCTTCTGAGGGACAAATATTCAGACACCCGTGGAGGTGTTCTGGAATCCTATGTGAGGGACAAACACTCAGAAAACAGCAGCGGTGCTATGGAGACCTTTGTGAGGGCAACAAACACAAGCCAGAGTTTTATTCTGTAACCTTTTTGAGGGAAAACATTCAGAACCCCGTAGCAGTGTTCTGGAATCCTATGTAAGGGACAAACATTCAGAACCCAGCAGCAGTGTTTTGGAATCCTGAGTGAAAGACAAAGATTCAGAACTTCATAGCACTGTTCTGGAATCCCATTTGAGGGACAAACACTCAGAACCCAGCAGCAGTGTTCTAGAATCCTATGTGAGAGACAAACCCTCAGAACCCAACAGCAGTGTTCTGGAATCCCATGTGAGGGACAAACACTCAGTACCCAACCACTGTGTTCTGGAATCCTATATGAGGGACAAACATTCAGACAATCGTAGAAGTGTTCTGGAATCCTATGTGAGGGACAACACTCAGAAACCACCAGCAGTGCTCTGGAATCTTTTGTGAGGGACAAAAATCTGAACCCAGCAGCACTGTTCTCTAATCCTTTTTAGGGACAAACGTTCAGAACCTCGTAGGAGTGTTCTTGAATCCTAAGTGAGGGATAAAAGCCCAGAACGCAGCAGCAGTGTTCTGGAATCCTGCGTGAGTGACAAACACTCCGAACCCCGCAGGAATGTTCTTGAATCCTTTGTGAGGGACAAACATTCAAACCCTCGAAGCAGTGTTCTGGAATCCTATGTGAGGTACAAACAGTCATAACCCAGCAGAAATCTTCTGGAATCCTTTGTTATGGACAAACATTCAGGCCCTTGTAGCAGTGTTACGGAATCCTAATGGAGGCACAAACACTCAGAACCCAGCAGCAGTGTTCTGGAATCTTATGTGAGGGACAAACACTCACAATCCAGCAGAAGTGTTCTGGAATCCTATCTGAGGGACATACACTCAGAACCCAGTAGCAGTGTTCTGGAATTCTATGTGATGAACACACACTCAGAAACCAGCAGCTGTTTTCTGGAATCTTGTCGAGTGACAAATATTCAGACACTCGTGGAAGTGTTCTGGAATCCTATGTGAGGGATAAACACTCAGAAACTAGCAGCGGTGATCTGGAATCCTTTGTGAAGCACAAGCAAACAGAACCCAGCAGCTGTGTTCTGGAATCTTTGTGAGGGAAAAATATTTAGACCCTTGTAGCAGTGTTCTGGAATCCTATGTGAGGGACAAACACTGATAACCCAACGGCAGTGTTCTGGACTCCTCTATGAAGTCAAACCCTCAGAACCCAGCAGCAGTTTTCTGAAATAAAATGTGAGCAACAAACATTCAGAATTTCGTAGCAGAGTTCTGGAATCCTATGTGAGTGACAAACACTCAGAAACCAGCAGCAGTGTTCTAGAATCCTTTCTGTGGGACAAACTTTCAGACGCTCAAAGCAGTGTTCTGGAATCCTATGTGATGGACAAACACTCCGATCCCATCAGCAATGTTCTGCAATCCTTTGTGATGGGCAAACATTCAGACCCTCGTAACAGATTTTGGGAATCCTAAGTGAGGGACAAACACTCAGAACCCAGCAGCAAGCAGTGTTCTAGAATCCTATATGAAGAACAAACACTCACAACCCAGCAGCCGTGTTCTTCAATCCTGTTTGAGGGACAAACACTCAGAACCCACTCACTGTGTACAGGAATCCTATCTGTGGGCCTAACATTCAGACCCTCGTAGCAGTGTTCTGGAATCCTATGTGAGGGAGAAACTCTAAAAAACCAACAGCAGTGCTCTGGAATCCTTTATGAGGGAAAAACATTCAGACCTTTCTAGCAGTGTTCTGGAATCCTATGTGAGGGAAATATTTTCAGAGCCTCGTAGCAGTGTTCTGTAATCATATATGAGTGACAAACACTCAGAAACCAGCAGCAGTGTTCTGGAATCCCTTGAGAGGGAAAAACATTTACACCTTCATAACAGTGTTCTGGAATCCTTACTGTGGGAAAAATATTCAGACCCTCGTAACAGTGTTCTGGAATCCTATATGAGGGACAAACACTCAAAAACCAGCAGCAGTGTTCTGGAATCCTATGTGAGGGAAAAACACTCAGAACCCAACTGCAGTGTTCTGGAGTCCTGTGGGAGTGACAAACTTTCAGAAATTCGTAGCAGTATTCTGGAATCTTATGTGAGGGACAAACACACAGAACCCAGTAGCAGTGTTCTGGAATCTTATGTGAGTGACAAACACTCAGAATCCAGCAACAGTGTTCTGGAATCCTATGTGAGGGACAAACACTCAGAACCCAGCAGCAGTGTTCTAGAATACTTTGTGAGGAAAAACACTCAGAACACAGCAGTAGTGTTCTGGTATCCACTGTGTACTAGAATCCTATCTGAGGGACAAACATTCAGAACCTAGTAGAAATGTTCTGGAATTCTACGTGAGGGACAAATACTAAGAAATCTGCAGCAGTGCTCTGGAATCTATTGTGAAGGTCAAACAAATAGAACCCAGTAGCCTTGTTCTACAATACTTTATGAGGGAAAAACTTTCAGACCCTCATAGCGGTGGTCTGGAATCACACATTAGGAACAAACACTCAGAACCCAGCAGCAGTGTTCTGTACTCCTTTGTGAGGGACAACATTCAGTTCCTCAAGGCAGTGTTCTGGAATCCTATGTGAATGACAAACACTAAGAAACCATCAGCAGTGTTCTGGAATCCTATGTGAATGACAAACACTAAGAAACCATCAGCAGTGTTCTGGAATCCTTTGTGAGTGACAAACATTCAGACCCCCTTAGCAGGGTTCTGGAATTCTATGTGAGGGACATTCAGACATAGCAGTGTTTTGGGCATAGCAGTGTTTTGGAAACCAATGTGAGGGCCAAACAGTCAGAACCCAGCATCAGTGTTCTGGAATACTTGGTAAGGGACAAACATTCAGAAAATCTTATCAGTTTTCTGGAATCCCAACTGAGGGAGAAACGCTCAGAAAATATCTGCAGTGTTCTAGAATTCTATGTGAGGGACAAACCCTCATTACCGAGCTGCAGTGTTCTGGATTCCTAGGTGAGGGACAAACACTCAGAACAAAGCAGCAGTGTTCTGGAATCCTATGTGATGGACAAAAACTCAGAACCCAGCAGCAGTGTTCTGATACCCTATGGGAGGGACAAACACTCAGAACCCAGCCCCTGTGTTCTGGAATCCTATCTGAAGGACAAACATTCGGAGACTTGAAGAAGTCTTCTGGAATCCTATGTGAAGGACAAACAGTCAGAAACCTGTAGCAATGTTCTGGAATCATTTGTAAGGAACAAACACTCAAAACTCAAAAGCAGTATCCTGGAATCCTACGTGAGGGCCAAACACTAAGAACCCAGCAGCAGTATTTTCGAATCCTTAATGAGTGACAAACAGTCAGAAACCTGCAGCAGTGTTTTAGATTGCTTTGTGATATACAAACATTCAGACCCTCGAAGCAGTGTTCTGGAATTCTGTTTGAGGGACAAACACTCAGAACCCAGCCACTGTGTTCTGGAATGTTATCTGAGGGAAAAATATTCGGAGCCTCGTAGAAGTGTTCTGGAATCCTATGTGAGTGACAAATACTCAGAAACCATCAGCAGTGCTCTGGAATCCTTTGTGATGGATAAATAAACAGAGCCCAGCAGCAGTGTTCTGGAATCCTTCGTGAGGGACAAACATTCAGAACCTTGTAGCCGTGTTCTGGAATCGTATGTGAGGGTCAAACACTTTGAACCAGCAGCTGTGTTCTGGAATCCTATGTGAGGGACAAACACTCAGAACCCAGCAACAGTGTTCTGTAATCCTTTGTGAGGGACAAACACTAAGAACCCAGCAACATTGTTCTGCAATCCTTTGTGTGGGACAAACACTCAGAACCCAGCAGCAGAGTTCTGGAATCCCATGTGAGGGACAAACGTTCAGGCACTCAGAATAGTGTTTTGGAATCCTATGTTAGGGACAAACACTCAGAAAACTGCAGCAGTGTTCTGGAATCCTACGTGGGGGACAAGCATTCAGATCCTGATAGCACTGTTGTGGAATGCTCTGTGAGGAACAAACAATCAGACCCTCGTAGCAGTGTTCTGAAATCCTGTGTGAGGTACAAACCCTCACAACTCAGCAGCAGCTTTCTGGAATTCTATGTGAGGGACAAACCCTCAGAACCTAACAGCAGTGTTCTGGAATCATACGTAAGGTAATAACACTCAGAACCCTGCAGCAGTGTTCTGGAATGCTATGTAAGAGACAAACACACAAAACAGAGCAGTAGTATTCTGGTATCCTATATGAGGTAAAAACACTCAGAACCCAACAGAAGTGTTCTGAAATCCTATGTCAGGCACAAACATTCAGAAGCTCCCAGAAGTGTTCTGGAATATTATGTGAAGGACAAAAACTCAGAATCCAGGTGCAGTATTCTGGAATCCTATGTGAGGGACAAACATTCAGACCCTCCTAGCAGTGTTCTGGAATGCAATCTGTTGTAGAAACCCTCAGAACACAGAAGCAGTTGTCTGGAATCCTTTGTGATGGAAAACATTCAGACCCTAGTAGCAGTGTTCTGGAATCCTATGTGACGGACAAACCTTCAGAATCCAGCAATAGTGTACTGGAATCCTCTGTGAGGGACATACACTCAGAACCCAGCAGTAGTGTTTTGGAATCCTTTGTGAGGGACAAACCCTCAGAATCCAGCAGTAGTGTTCTGGAATCCTCTGTGAGGGACATACACTCAGAACCCAGCAGTATTGTTCTGGAATCCTATGTCAGGGACAAACATTCAGAAACCAGCAGCAGTTTTCTGGAATCCTATGTGAGGGACAAACACTCAGAAACCAGCAGCAGTGTTCTGCAATCCTATGTGAGGGACAAACACTCTGAACCCAGCAGCAGTGTTCTAGAATCCTATGTGAGTGACAAACATTCAGAATTTTGTAGCAATGTTCTGCCATTCTATGTGAGTGACAAACACTCAGAAGCCAGCAACAGCCTTCTAGAATCCTATGTGAGGGAAAAACACTCAGAAACCAACAGCAATGTTCTAGCATCCCTTGTGAGGGACAAACATTCAGAATCTCGTAGAAGTGCTCTGGAATCGCAAGTGAGGGAGAAACACACAGAACCCAGCAGCAATGTTTTGGAATCCTGTTTGAGCGACAAAGATACAGAACTTCGTTGCAATGTTCTCGAATCCCATGTGAGGGACAAACACTGAGAATCCAGCAGCAGTGTGCTGGAATTCTATGTGAGGAACAAACACTCAGAACCCAGCAGCAGTGTTCTACAATCCTATGTGAGGGACAAACATTCAGAAACTCGTAGCAGTGTTCTGCAATCCTGTGTGAGGGACAAACACTCAGAACCCAGCCACTGTGTTCTGGAATCCTATCTGAGGGACAAACATTCAGACACTTGTAGAAGTGTTCTAGAATCCTATGTGAGAGACAAACACTCAGAAACAAGCAGCGGTGCTCTGGAATCCTTTTTGAGGGACAAACAGAGCCCAGCAGCAGTGTCCTGGAATCCTTTGTGAAGGAAAAGAATTGAGACCCTCGTCTCAGTTTTCTGCAATCCTATGTGAGGGAGAAACACTCAGAACCCAGCAGCAGTGTTCTGGAATCCCATGTGAGAGACAAACACTGAGATCCTAGCAGCCCTGTTCTGGAATCCTATGTGAGGTACAAACTCTCAGACACTCGAAGCAGTGTTCTGGGATCCTATGTGAGGGACGACCGGTCAGAACCCAGCAGCAGTCTTCTGGATTCCTATCTGAGAGTGAAACATTCCGACCCTCACAGCAGAGTTCTGGAATCCTATGTGAGGGACAAACACTCAGAACCTACCAGCAGTGTTCTGGAATCCTTTGTGAGGAACAAATACTCAGAACCCAGCCGCAGTGTTCTGGAATCCCATGTGAGGGACTAGCATTCAGACCCTCATAGCAATGTTCTGAAATCCTATGCGTTGGAGAAAAATACAGACACTCCTAGCAGTGTTCTGGAATTCTATGAGAGGGACAAACAATCAGAACCCAGCAGGAGTGTTTTGGAATTCAATGTGAAGGGCAAACCCTCAGAACCTAGCAGCATAGTTCTGGAACTCAGTGAGAGGGACACACACTCAGAACCCAGCAGCAGTGTTCTGGAATACTGTTTGACGGAAAAACACTTAGAAACCAACAGCAGTGTCCTGGAATCCTTCGTGAGGGACAAACATTTAGAACCTTGTAGCCGTGTTCTGGAATCGTATGTGAGGGTCAAACACTTTGAACCAGCAGCTATGTTCTGGAATCCTATGTGAGGGTCAAACACTAAGAACCCAGCAACATTGTTCTGCAATCCTTTGTGTGGGACAAACACTCAGAACCCAGCAGCAGAGTTCTGGAATCCCATGTGAGGGACAAACGTTCAGGCACTCAGAATAGTGTTTTGGAATCCTATGTTAGGGACAAACACTCAGAAAACTGCAGCAGTGTTCTGGAATCCTATGTGGGGGACAAGCATTCAGATCCTGATAGCACTGTTGTGGAATACTTTGTGAGGGTGAGACATGCAGACCCTGGTAGCAGTGTTCTATAATCCCATGTGAGGGCCAAACACTCAGAATCCAGCAACAGTGATCTGGAATCTTATGAGTTGGACAAAAACTCACAACCCAGCAGAATTGTTCTGGAATCCTAAGTGATGGACAAACACTCTGAACTAAGCAGCAGAGTTCTGGAATCCTATGTGAGGGACAAACACTCAGAACCCAGCAGCAGTGTTAAGGAATCCTATGTGAGGGACAAACCCTCAGAATGTTAGAGACACATAGAATTCCAGAACACTGCTGCTGGTTTCTGAGGGTTTGTCCCTCACATAGGATTCCAGACCACTGCTATGATGGTCTGAATGTCTGCCTTCACAAAGGATTCCATAACACTGCTGCTGGGATCTGAGGGTTTGTCCCTCACATAGGATTCCAGACCACTGCTATGATGGTCTGAATGTCTGCCTTCACAAAGGATTCCATAACGCTGCTGCTGGGTTCTGAGTGTTTGTCCCTCACATGGGATTCCAGAACACTGCTGCTGTGTTCTGAGTGTTTGTCCCTCACGTAGACTTCCAGAACAGTGCTACGATGGTCTGAATGTTTGTCCCACAAACAGGATTCCAGAAGACTGCTGATGGGTTCGGAGTGTTTCTCCCTTACATAGGATTCCAAAACACTACTGCTAGGTTCTGATGTTCTGTCCCTCACATAGAATTCCACAACATTGCGTCTGGGTTATTAGGGTTTGTCCCTCAAATAGGATTCCAGACCACTGATACGATGGTCTGAATGTTTGTCCCTCACAAAAGATTCCAGAACACTGCTGTTGGGTTCTGAGGGTTTGTCCCTCACGTAGGATTCTAGAACACTGTTGCTGGGTTCTGAGTGTTTATCCCTCACATAGGATTCCAGAAGAATGTTGCTGGGTTCTGAGTGTTTGTCCTCACTTAGGATTCCAGAACACTGCTGCTGGGTTCTGAGGGTTTGAAACACACACCGGTTTCGAGAACACTGCTACAAGGGTCTGAACGTTTGTTTCTCACATAGGATTCCAGAACACTGCTATGAGGGTCTGAATGTTTGTCCCTGCCAAATTATTCCAGAATACTGCTTCTGGGTTCTGAGTGTTTGTCCCTCACATAGGATTCCAGAACACTGCTACGAGAGTCTGAATGCTTTTCCCTCACATAGGATTCCAGTACACTGCAACGAGGGTCTGCATGTTTGTAACTTGGAAAGTATTAAAGAACACTGCTGCTGGTTTCAGAGTGTCTGTCCTGTACATAGAATTCCGGAACACTGCTGCTGGATTTGGAGTGTTTTTTCCTCACGTAAGATTCCACAGCACTGCTACTGGGTTCTGAGGGTTTGTCCCTCCCTTAGAATTCCAGAACACTGCTACTCGTTGCTCACTGTTTGTCCCCCACATAGGATTCCAGTACACTGTTGCTGTGTTCTGAGTGCTTGTCCTCACATAAGATTCCAGTACACTGTTAAGAGGGTATGAAAGTTTGTCCCTCACAAAGGATTCCAGAAGAGTGCTGCGGGGTTCTGAGTGTTTGCCTCTCACATAGGATTCCTGAATACTGCTGATATGTTCTGTGGGTTTGTCCCTCACGTAGAATTCTAGAACACTGCTGCTGGATTCTGAGTGCTTGTCCCTCACCTAGGATTCCAGAACACTGCTATGAGTGTCTGAATGTTTGTCCCACACAAAGGATTCCACAACAATGATTCTCGTTTTTGAGGGTTTGTCCCTCATATAGAATTCCGGAACACCATGGCTAGGTTCTGAGTGTTTGTCCCACAGAGAGAATACCAGGACACTGCTTCCACGTTCTGTGTGTTTGCCCCTCACATAGGATTCCACAACACTGCTCTGAGGGTCTGAATGTTTGTCCCTCACAAAGGATTCCAGAACACTGCTGCTGTTTTCTGAGTGTTTGTCCTCAGATTGGACTCCAGAACACTGCTACAACTGTACGAAAGTTTGTCCCACAGAAAAGATTACAGAACAATGCTGCTGGGTTCTGAGTGTTTATCCCTCACATAGGATTCAAGAACCTTGCAGTTGGGTTCTGAGTGTTTTACCCTCACATAGGATTCCAGAATACTGTTGCCAAGTTCTGAGGGTTTGTCCCTCACATAATATTCTAGAACACTGCTGCTGGGTTTTAAGGGTTTGTCACTCACATAGGATTCCAGAACACTGCTTGAAGGGTCTGAATGTTTGTCCTTCACAAAGGATTATAGAGCACTGCTGCCATGTTCTGAGTGTTTGGTCCAAGCATAGGAATCCACAACACCGCTCGGAGGGTCTGAATGTTTTTCCCTCACAAAGGACTCCAGAACACTGCTGCTGGGTTCTGTGTGTTTGTCCACACAAAGGATTCCAGAACAGTGTTACAGGGTTTTGAGTGTTTGTCCCTCACTTAGGTTTAAAGAATATTGCTCTGAGGGCCTGAGTGTTTGTCCCTCATGAAACACTCTAGAACACTGCTGCTGGTTTCGGAGTGTTTGTCCCTCACATAGAATTCCAGAACCCTCCTGAGAGGGTCTGAACGTTTGACCTTCACAAAGGATTCCCAAACACTGCTGCTGGGATCTGAGTGTTTGTCCTTCACATAGGATTCCAGAACACTGCTACGGGGGTCTGAATGTTTCTCCCTCACAAGGGATTCCAGAACACTGCTGCTGGGTTCTCAGTGTTTGTCTCTCACATAGGACTCAGGACACTGCTACGAGGGTGTGAATGTGTGTCCCACACTTAGGATTATGGAACACTGTTACAAGTGTCTGAATGCTTGTCCCTCACATAGGACTCCAGAACACTGCAACAGAGTTCTGAGTGCTTGCCCCTCACTTAAGATTAAAGGACACTGCTATGAGGGCCTGAATATTTGTCCCTCACAAAAGATTCCAGAACACTGCTGCCGGGTTCGGAGTGTTTGTTTCTCATATTGAATTCCAGAACACTGCTACCTGGGTCTGAATATAGTCCCTCACAAAGGATTCTGTAATATCGTTGCTGGGTTCTGAGACTTTGTCCCTCACATAGGATTACAGAACATGGCTACGAGGGTCTGAATGATTTTCCCTCAAAAAGGAATCCAGAACACTGCTGCTGGGTTCTGAGTGTTTGTCCATAACATAGGATACCAGAACACTGCTGCTGGGTTCTGAGTGTTTGACCCTCTCATAGGATTCCAGAACACTGCTGTTGGGTTCTCAGTGTTTCTCCCTCACATAGGATTCCAGAACACTGCTACAAGTTTCTGAAGGTTTTTCCTTCACAAAGGATTCCAGAACACTGCTGCGGGGTTCTGTGTGTTTGTCAATCAAATATGATTCCAGAACACTTCTGCTCGGTTCTTAGTGTTTGCCACTCACATATGATTCCTGAATACTTCTACGAGGGTCTCAAAGTTTGTCACTCACATAGGATTCCAGAACACTTCTAGGAGGGTATGAATGTGTGTCCTTCACAATGGATTTCAAAACACACTGGTGGGTTCTGAGGATTTCTCCCTCACATAGGATTCCAGAACTCTGCTGCTGGTTTTCCAGAACACTGCTGATGGGTTCTGTGTCTTTGCCAATCAAATAGGATTCCAGAACACTGCTGCTGGGTTCTGAGTGTTTGTCCTACACATAGGTTTCCAGAACACTGCTACGAGTGTCTGAATGTTTGTCACTCACATAGGATTAGAGAATACTGCTAAGAGGGTCTGAATCTATGTCCCTCACAAAGGATTCCAGAACACTGCTGCTGGGTTCTGAGTAATTGTCCCTCACTTAGGATTACAGAACACTGCTACGAGGTTCTGAATATTTGTCCCTCACATCGGATTCCAGAACACTGGTACAAATGTCTGAAAGCTTTTCCCTCACAACGTTTTCAAGAAACTGCTCCTGGGTTCTTGGTGTTTTACCCTCACATAGTATTCCAGAAAACTTCTCCAAGGTTCTGAATGTTTGTCCCTCACAAAGGATTCCAGAACACTGCTGCTGGGTTCTGAGTCTCTGTTACTCACATAGGATTCTAGGACAATTCTGCTGGGTTCTGATTGAGCCTCACATCTTATCCAGAACACTGCTACGAGGGTCTGAATCTTTGTCCCTCACAAAGGATTCCAGAACACTGCTGCCGTGTTCTCAGTGTTTGTCCCTTACATAGCAATCCGGAACACTGCTGCTGGGATCTGAGAGTTTGTCCCACACATAGGATTCCAGAACACTGCTGCTGGGTTCCTGGTGTTTGTCCCTCACAAAGGATTCCAGAATACTGCTACTGGGTTCTGATTGTTTGTCCCTCTCATAGGATTCCAGAACACTGGTACGACGGTCTTAAGGATTCTCCGTAACATAGCATTCCAGAACATTGCTACGATGGTCTGAATGCTAGTCCCTCACGTGGGATTCCAGAATACTGTTGCTGGGTTCTGAGTGTTTGTCCTTCACATAGGATTCCAGAACACTGCTGCTGGGTTCTGAATGTTTTTCCCTCTCACAGGATTGCAGAACACAGCTATGAGGGTCTGAATGTTTGTCTCTCACATATGATTCCAGAACACTGCTATGATGGTCTGAATGCTTGCCCCTCATGTAGGATACCAGAACACAGCTGCTGGGTTTTGGGTGTTTCTCTGTCACATAGGATTCCAGAACACTGCTTTGAGGGTCTGAATGTTTTTCTCTCACAAAGGATTCCAAAACACTGCTGCTGGGTTCGGGGTGTTTGTCCCTCATATAGGATTCGAGAACACTGTTACGAGGCTCTGAATGTTTGTGCCTCAGGAAGGAAACCAGCACACTGCTGCTGGGTTCTGAGGGTTGGTCCCTCACATAGGATTCCATAACACTGATAAGAAGGCCTGAATGTAAGTCCCTCACAAACACTGCTGCAGGGTTCTCAGTGTTTGTCCCTCACATAGTATTACAGAACATGGCTGCTGGGTTCTGATTATTTGTCCCTCACATAGCATTCGAGAACACTGCTACGGGGGTCTGAAGGTTTATATAGCACATGGGATTCCATAACATTGCTACGAGGGTCTGAATATTTGTCCCTCACAAAGGATTCCAGAACACTGCTGCCGGTTTCTGAGTGTTTGTCCCTCCCATAGGATTCCAGAACATTGCTGCTGGGTTCTGAGGGTTTGTCAATCCCATAGGATTCCAGAACACTGATGCAGGGTTCTGAGTGATTCTCCCTAACATAGGATTCAAGAACACTGCTAAGAGGGTCTGAATCTTTGTCCTTCACAAAGAATTCCAGACCACTCCTGATGGGTCCTGAGTGTTTGTCCCACAAATTGGATTTGAGAACACTGCTGCTGGGTTCTCAGGGTTTGTTCCTCACATTGGATTACAGAACACTTTAGGAGGGTCTGAATGTTTTTCCCTCTGTTAGAATTCCAGTACACAGTGGCTGGGTTCTGAGTGTTTGTCCCTCCCATAGGATTGCAGAACATTGCTGCAGGTTTCTGAGTGATTGTCCCTAACATAGGATTCCAGAACACTGCTACGAGTGTCTGAATCTTTGTCCCTCACAAAGAATTACAGATCAATCCTGTTGGGTTCTGAGTGTTTGTCCCACCAATTGGATTCGAGAACACTGCTGCTGGGTTCTGAGGGTTTGTTCCTCACATAGGATTACAGAACACTGCTACGAGGTTCTGAATGTTTTTCCCTCACAAAGGATTCCCGAACACTGCTGCTGTGTTCTTTGTTTGTCCACCACATCGTATTTCAGAACACTGCTGCAGGGTTCTGAGTGTTTTTCCATGACATAGGATTCCAGAACAGTGCCACGACGGTCTGAATGATTGTCCCTCACATAAGATTCCAGAACACTGCTATGAGGGTCTGAATGCTTGTCCCTCACATAGCATTCCAGAACACTGCTGCTGGGTTCTGAGTGTTGGCCCCTCACATAGGTTTCCAGAACACTGCTACTGGGTTCTGAATGTTTGTCCTTCACATAGGATTATAGAACACTGCTCCGACGGTCTGAATGTTTGTCCCTCACTTAAGATTTCAGAACACTGCTGCTGATTTTTGAATGTTTCTCCCTCACATAGGAATCCAGAACACTTCTGCTGGATTCTGAGTGTTTGTCCCTTATATAGGATACCAGAACACTTCTACTGGATTCTGAGTGTTTGTCCCTTATATAGAATACCAGAACACTGCTGCTGGGTTTTGTTTGTCCCTCACATAGCATTCCAGAACACTGCTGCTGGGTTCTGAATGTTAGTACCTCACGTACGATTCCAGAACACTGCTGCAAGGTTCTGAGGGTTTGTCCTTCACATAGAATTGCAGAACACTGCTTCTGAGTTCTGAGGGTTTGTACCTCACACAGGATTCCAGAACACTGCTACAAGGGTCTGAATGTTTGTCCCTCACAGAGCATTCCAGAACAGTGCTATGAGGGTCTGAATGCTTGTCCCACACATAGGATTCCAGAACCCTGCTGCAGGGCTCTGAGTGTTTGTCCCTCACATAGGATTCCAAAACACTGCTCTGAGTGTCTGAAAGTTTGTCCCTCAAAAAGGATTCCAGAACACTGCTGCTGGGTTCTGACGGTTTGTTCCTCACATAGAATTCCCGAACACTGCTGCTGGGTTCTGAGTGCTTGTTCCAAACCCGGGATTCCAGAATACTGCTCGGAGGTTCTGAAAGTTTGTTCCTCACCAAGGATACCAGAACACTGCTGCTGGGTTCTGAATGTTTGTCCCTCACATATAATCCCAGAGCACTGCTACGAGTGTCTGAATGGTTGTCCCTCAAAGCGATACCAGAACACTGCTTTTGAGTTCTGAGTGTTTGTCCTTCACAAAGTATTCCAGAACACTGCTACTGGGTTCTGAGTGTTTGTCCCTCACATAGGGTTCCAGAACACTGCTACTGGGTTCTGAGTGTTTGTCCTTCACATAGGATTATAGAACACTGCTCCGAGAGTCTGAACGTTTGTCCCTCACTTAAGATTTCAGAACACTGCTGCTGATTTTTGAATGTTTGTCCCTCACATGGGAATCCAGAACACTTCTGCTGGATTCTGAGAGTGTTTGTCCCTTATATAGAATACCAGAACACTTCTACTGGATTCTGAGTGTTTGTCCCTTATATAGGATACCAGAACAGTGCTGCTGGCTTTTGTGTGTTTGTCCCTCACATAGCAATCCAGAACACTGCTGCTGGGTTTTGAATGTTAGTAACTCACATACGATTCCAGAACACTGCTGCAAGGTTCTGAGGGTTTTTCCTTCACATAGAATTCCAGAACACTGCTTCTGAGTTCTGAGGGTTTGTACCTCACACAGGATTCCAGAACACTGCTACAAGGGTCTGAATGTTTGTCCCTCACAGAGCATTCCAGAACAGTGCTATGAGGGTCTGAATGCTTGTCCCACACATAGGATTCCAGAACCCTGCTGCAGGGTTCTGAGTGTTTGTCCCTCACATAGGATTCCAAAACACTGCTCTGAGTGTCTGAAAGTTTGTCCCTCAAAAAGGATTCCAGAACACTGCTGCTGGGTTCTGACGGTTTGTCCCTCACATAGAATTCCCGAACACTGCTACTGGGTTCTGAGTGTTTGTCCCTCACATAGGACTACAGAAAACTGCTGCTGTTTTCTGAATGTTTGTCCCTCACATAGGATTTCGGAACACTGCTACGAGGGTCTGAATGTTTCTCCCTCACATAGCATTATAGAACAGTGCTATGAGTGTCTGACTGTTTGTTCCCCACAAAGTATTCCACAACATTGCTGCTGGGTTCTGAGGGTTTGTTCCTCACATGGAATTCCTGAACATTGCTGCTGGGTACTGGGTATTTGTCCCTCACATAGGATTTCAGAACACGACTGCTGGGTTCTGAGTTTTTGTCCCACACCTAGGATTTCAGAGCAGTGCTACAAGGGTCTGAATGTTTGTCCCTCGCATAGCATTCCAGAACACTGCTGCTGGTTTCCAAATGTTTTCACTCACATAAGATTCCAGAACACTTCTGATGGGTTCTGTGTGTTTGTACATCATTTAGAATACAAAACACTACTGCTGGGTTTTTAGTGTTTGTCCCTCACATAGGATTCCAGAGCACTGCTGCAGGGTTCTGAGTGTTTGTCCTTCACATAACAATCCAGAACACTGCTGCTGTGTTCCGAGTGTGTGTCCTTCACGTAGAATTCTAGAACACTGCTGCTGGGTTCTGAGGGATTGTACCTCACATAGGATTCTAGAACACTGCTACTAGGGTCTGAATGTTTGTCCCTCACGTAGCATTCCAGAACAGTGCTATGAGGGTCTGAATGTTTGCACCTCACGTAGGATTCCAGAACACTGCTGCAGGGTTCTGAGTGTTTGTCTCTCACCTAGGATTCCAGAACAGTGCTACAGGGGTCTGAATGTTGCTGCCTCACAAACGATACCAGAACACTGCTGCTGGGTTCAGAGTGTTTGTCCCTCACAAAGGATTCCGGAACACTGGTACCGTTTTCTGAGTGTTTGATCGTCGCATAGGATTCCAGAACACTGACACGAGGGTCCGAATGTTTGTCCCTCACATAGGTTTCCGGAACATAGCTGCTGGGTTCTGAGTGATTGTCCCTCACCTTGGATTCCAGAAAACTGCTGCAGGGTTCTGAGTGTTTGTCCCTCACATAGGAATCCAGAACACTGCTGCTGGGTTCTCTGTGTTCGTCCCTCACATAAGACTCCAGAAGACTGCTGCTAGGTTCTGAGGGTTTGTCCCTCACGTAGAATTCCAGAACACCGCTTCTGGGTTCTGAGGTTTTGTACCTCACTTAGGATTCCAGAACATTGCTAAGAGGGTCTGAATGTTTGACCCTCACATAACATTACAGAGCAGTGCTCGGAGGGTCTGAATGATTGTCCCTCCCGAAGGATTCCGGAACATTGCCGCGGGGATCTGAAAGTTTGTCCCTCACATAGGATTCCAGAAAAAGGCTCCGAGGGTCTGAATGTTTGTTCTTCACAAAGGATTCCAGAACACAGCTTCTGGGTTCTGAGTGTTTGTCCCTCACATAGGATTCCAGAAAACTACAGCTGGGTTCTGAGTGTTTGTCTCTCACCTAGGATTCCAGAACACTGCTATGAGTTTCTGAATGTTAGGTCCTCACAAACGATTCCAGGACACTGCTGCTAGGTTCAGAATCTTTGCCCCTCACTTAGTATTCCAGAACACTACTAGTGTTTTCTGAGTATTTGTCCTTCACATAGGATTCCAGAACACTCCTACGAGGGTCTGAATGTTTGTCCCTCACAGAGCATTCCAGAACAGTGCTATGAGGGTATGAATGCTTGTCCCACACATAGGATTCCAGAACCCTGCTGCCTGGATCTGAGTGTTTCTCCCTTACATTGGATTCTGGAACACTGCTGCTGCATACTGAGTGTTTGTCCCTCACATAGCGTTCCAGAACACTGCTGCTTGGTTCTGAGTGTTAGTCCGTTACTTATGATTCCAGAACACTGCTGCTGTATTGTGAGTGTTTGTCCCTTACATAGGATTCCAGAACACTGCAACAAGGGTCTGAATGTTTGTCCCTCACATAGGATTCCAGAACCCTACTGCTGGGTTGTGAGTGTTTGTCACTCATACAGGATTTCAGAACACTTCTGCTGGGTTCTGTGTGTTTGTCCATCATGTAGGATACAAGAACACTTCTGCTGGGTTTTCAGTATTTGTCCCTCACATGGGATTCCCAAACGCTGCTGCAGGTTTCTGAGTGCTTGTCCCTCACATAGGAATGCAGAACACTGCTGCTGGGTTCTGAGTGTTCGTCCCTCACATAGGATTCCAGAACACTGCAGCTAGGTTCTGAGGGTTTGTCCGTCATGTAGAATTCCAGAACAATGCTGCTGGGTTCTGAAGGTTTGTACCTCACATAGGATCCCAGAACACTGCTACGAGGTTCTGAATGTTTGTCCCTCACAGAGCATTCGAGAACAGTGCTATGAGGGTCTGAATGCTTGTCCCTCACTTAGGATCCCAGAACACTGCTGAAGGGATCTGAATGTTTGTCCGTCACTTTGGATTCCCGAACACTGCTGCTGGGTTCTGAGTGTTTGTCCCTCACTTAGGAGTCCAGAACTCTGCTGCTGGGTTCTGAGTGTTTGTCCCTCATAGAGGATTCCAGACCACTGCTGTTGGGTTCTGAGTGTTTGTCCCTCAAAAAGGATTCGAGAACATGGCTCCAAGGGTATGAAAGTTTGTCTCTCACAAAAGATTGCAGAAAAATGCTGCTGGGTTCTGAGTGTTTGTCCCTCACAAAGTATTCCAGAACACTGCTGCTGTGTTCTGAGCGTTTGTCCCTCACATAGGATTCCAGAAAATTGCTACAAGGTTCTGAATGTTTGTCCATCAGAAAGCACTCCCTACCACTGCTACTGGGTCCTGAGTGTTTGTCCTTCACATAGGATTCCAGAACACTGCTATTGCGTTCTGAGTGTTTGTCCTTCACATAGGATTCCAGAACACTGCTCCGAAGGTCTGAATGTTTGTCCCTCATTTAGGATTCCTGGACACTGCTGCTAGTTTTTGAATGTTTGTGTCTCACATAGGAATCCAGGACACCTCTGCTGGGTTCTGAGTGTTTGTCCCTTATATAGGATACCAGAACACTGCTGCTGGGTTTTGTGTGTTTGCCCTCACATAGCATTCCAGAATACTGCTGCTGGATTCTGAGTGTTAGTCCCTCACATACGATTCCAGAACACTGCTGCAAGGTTCTGAGGGTTTGTCCTTCACATAGAATTCCAGAACACTGCTTTTGACTTCTCAGGGTTTGTACCTCACGCAGGATTCCAGAACACTGCTATGAGGGTCTGAATGTTTGTCCCTCACAGAACATTACAGAACAGTGTTATGAGGGTCTGAATGGTTGTCCCACACATAGGATTCCAGAACCCTGCTGCAGGGTTCTGAGTGTTTGTCCTTCACATAGTATTCCAAAACACTGCTCTGGGTGTCTCAATATTTGTCCCTCACAAAGGATTCCAGAACACTGCTGTTGGGTTCTGAGGCTTTGTCCCTCACATAGAATTCCTGAACACTGCTGCTGGGTTCTGAGTGTTTGTTCCTCACATAGGACAACAGAACACTGCTGCTGTTTTCTGAGTGTTTGTCCCTCACATAGGATTTCAGAATACTGCTATGAGAGTCTGAAAGTTTCTCCCTCACATAGCATTATAGAACAGTGCTATGAGTGTCTGACTGTTTGTCCCCAAAAAGTTTTCCAGAACACAGGTGCTGGGTTCTAAGGGTTTACGTCACATAGAATTCCTGAACACTGCTGCTGGGCTCTGGGTATTTGTCCCTCACATAGGATTCCAGAACAACAGTGCTGGGTTCTGAGTTTTTGTCCCACACCTAGGATTTCAGAACAGTTCTACAATGGTCTGAATGTTTGTCCTTCACAAAGGATTCCAGAACTCTGATGCTGGGTTTTGAGTGTTTGTCACTCACGTAGGATTCCAGAACACTTCTGATGGGTTCTGTGTGTTTGTCAATCATGTAAGGTACAATACATTACTGCTGGGTTTTTAGTGATGGTCCCTCAGATGGGATTCCAGAGCACTGCTGCAGGGTTCTGATTGTTTGTCCTTCAAATAGGAATCGAGAACACTGCTGCTGTGTTCCGAGTGTTTGTAATTCATGTAGATTTGCAGAATTCTACTGAGTTCTATGGGTTTGTACCTCACATAGGACTCCAGAACACTGCTATGAGGCTCTGAATGTTTGTCCTTCACATAGCGTTCCAGAACAGTGCTATGAGGGTCTGAATGCTTGTCCCTCTCATAGGATTCCAGAGCACTGCTGGGGGGTTTTGAGTGTTTGTCCCTCACGTATGATTCCAGAACAATGCTGCGAAGTTCTGAATGTTTGTCCCTCACAAAGGATTTCAGAACACTGCTGCTGGGTTCTGAGTGTTTGTCCCTCACTCAGGATTCCAGAACACTGCAGATGGGTTCTGAGTGTTTATCTCTCACCTAGGATTTCAGAACAGTGCTATGAGGGTCTGAATGTTAGTCCCTCACAAACGATACCAGAACACTACTGTTGGGTTCAGAGTGTTTGTCCCTGACATAGGATTCCAGAACACTACTACTGTTTTCTGAGTGTTTGATCATCACATAAGATTCCAGAACACTGCTACGAGGGTCTGAATGTTTGTTCCACACATAGGATTCCAGAACACTGCAGCTGGGTTCTGAGTGATTGTACCTCACCTAGGATTCCAGAAAACTGCTGCAAGGTTCTGAGTGTCTGTCCCTCATATAGGAATCCAGAACACTGCTGCTGGGTTCTGAGTGTCCATCCCTCACATAGGATTCCAGAACACAGTGGCTGGCTTATGTGTGTTTGTCCATCACATAACATTCCAGAACCCTGCGGCTGGGTTCTGAGTGTTTGTCCCACACATAGGATTCCAGAACGCTGCTGCTGGGTTCTCAGTGTTTTTCCCTCACATAAGATTCCAGAACACTGCTTTGAAGGTCTCATAGTTTGTCCCTCACAAAGGATTCTGGAACATTGCTTCTGGGTTCTGAGTGTCTTTCATTTACGTAGGATTCCAGAACACTGCTGCTGGGTTCTGAGTGTCTGTCCCTCACATGGGATTCCAAAACACTGCAGCTGGTTTCAGAGTGTTTGTCCCTCACATATGACTCCAGAACACTGCTATGAATTTCTGAATGTTTGTCATGCACAAAGGATTCCAGAACACTGCTGCTGGGTTCTCAGTGTTTGTCCCTCAGATAGGATTCCAGAACACTGCAGCTGCGTTCTTAGTGTTTGTCTCTCACATAGGATTTCAGAACACTGCTACGAGGGTCTGAATGTTTCTCCCTCACTTAGCGTTACAGAATAGTGCTCTGAGTGTCTGAATGCTTGTCACTCACAAAAGATTTTAGAACACTGCTGCTGGTTTCGGAGTGTTTGCTCCTCACATAGAATTGCCGAACAATGCTGCCGAGTCCTGGGTATTTCTCCCTCACATAGGATTCCAGAACACTGCTACAGTTTTCTGAGTGTTTGTCCTTCACATAGGATTCCAGAACACTACTACGAGAGTCTGAATGTTTTTCCCTCACAAAGGATTGTAGGACACTGAACCTGGGTTCTGTTTGTTTGTCCCTCAAAAAGGATTACAGAGCGATGCTCCAGATTTCTTAGGGTTTGTCCCTCACATAGGATACCAGAACAATTCTCCGAGGTTCTGAATGTTTGCCCTCAAGTAGGATTCCAGTACACAGTCTCTGGATTCTGAGTGTTTGTCCCTCACATAGGATTCTAGAACACTTCTACGAGATTCTGATTGTTTGTCCCTCACAAAGGATTCTAGAACACTGCTTCTGGGTTCTGAGTGTTTGTCCCTCACAAAGGATTCTAGAACAGTGCTGCTGTGTTCTCTGGGTTAGTCCCTCACATAGGATTCGAGAACACTGCTGCTGGGTTCTGAATGTTTGTCCCTCACATAGGATTCCAGAACACTGCAGCTGGCTTCTGAGTGTTTGTCCCTCACATAGAATTCCAGAACACCGCTATGAAATTCTAAAACTGTGTCGCATACATAGGATTTCAGAACACTGCTGCTTGGTTCTGAGTGTCTGTCCCTCACTTAGGATTCCAGAACACTGCTACGAGGGTCGGAATGTTTATCCCTCACAAAGGTTTCCAGAACAATGCTACTGGGTTCTGAGTGTTTGTCCCTCATGTTGGATTTGAGAACACTGCAGCGAGGGTCTGAATGTTTTTCCCTCACATAGGATTCCAGAAGACTGCTAAGAGGTCTGAATATTTTTCCCTCACAAAGGATTGTACAATGCTGCTACTGAGTTCTGTTAGTTTGTCCCACACAAAAGATCCCAGAACACAGCTACAGATTTCTTAGTGTGTGTCCCTCACTTAGGATTCCAGAACACTTCTCAGAGGTTCTGAATGTTTAGCCTCAGATAGGATTCCAGTACATAGTGGTTGGATTTTGAGTGTTTGCCCCTCACATAGGATTCCAGAACAGTGTTACGAGGTTCTGAATGTTTGTCCCTCACAAAGTATTCTAGAACACTTCTGCTGAGTTCTGAGTGTTTGTCCCTCACAAAGGATGCTGGAACACTGCTGCTGGGTTCCGGTGTTTGTCCATCACATAGGATTCCAGAACACTGCTGTTGGTTTCTGAGTGTTTGTCCATCACTTAGGAATCCAGAACACTGCTGCCATCTCAGTGTTTGTCCATGACATAGAAATCCACAACACTGCTACGAAGTTCTGAAAGTTTGTCACACACATAGGATTCCAGAACACTGCTGCTGGGTTCTGAGTGATTGTCCCTCACACAGGATTCCAGAACACTGCTGCTGGGTTCTGAGTGTTTGTCCCTCACACAGGATTCCAGAACACTGCTGCTGGGTTCTGAGTGTTTGTCCCTCACATAAGATTCCAGAACAGTGCTACAAGGGTCTGAATGTTTATCAGTCACAAAGTGTTTCAGATCACTGCTACTGAGCTGTTAGCATTTGTCCCTCATATTGGATTCCAGAACAATATCAAGAGGGTCCGAATGTCTTTCCATCACATAGGTTTCCAGAACACTGTTTCGATAGTTTGAATGTTTTTCCCTACCAAAGGATTCCAGAAGATTGCTGCTGGGTTCTGAGTGTTTGTCCCACATATAGGATTCCAAATCACTGCAACGAGGGTCTGAATGCTTTTCCCTCACAAAGGATTCAAGAACACTGCTAAGATGGTCTGAATGTCTTTCCCTCAGAAAGGATTGTAGAACACTGCTACTGGGTTATGTTTGTTTGCCCCTCACAATGGATTCCAGAGCACTGCTGCAGATTTCTTAGAGTTTGTCCCACACATAGGATTCCAGAACACTTCTATGGGGTTCTGAATGTTTGCCCTCAGCTAGAATTCAAGTACACAATGGCTGGATTCTGAGTGTTTGTCCCTCACCTAGGATTCCAGAACACTGTTACGAGGTTCTGAATGTTTGACTCTCACAAAGGATTCTAGAACAATGATGCTGGGTTCTGAGTGTTTGTCCCTCACAAAGGATTCTAGAACACTTCTGATAGGTTCTGAGTGTTTGTCCCTCTCATAGGATTCCAGAACACTGCTGCTGGGTTCTGAGTGTTTGTCCCTCACTTAGGATTCAAGAACACTGCTGCTGGCTTCTCAGAGTTTGTAACTCACATAGAATTCCAGAACACTGCTAGGAAGTTCAGAAAGTTTGTCGCTCACATGGGATTCCAGAACACTGCTGCTGGGTTGTGAGTGTTTGTTTCTCTCATAGGATTCCAGAACACTGCTTCTGCATTCTGAGTGTTTGTTCCTCACATAGGATTCCAAAACACTGCTACGAGGGTCTGAATGTTTATCCCTCACAAAGGTTTCCAGAACACTGCTAGTGGGTTCTGAGTGTTTGCCCTTATATTGGATTCCAGAACAGTGCTACGAGTGTCTGAATGTTTTTCCCTCACATAGGATTCCAGAACACTGTTACGAGGGTGTGAATATTTTCCCTCCTAAAGGATTCCAGAACACTGCTGCTGGGTTCTGAGTGTTTGTCCCTCAGGTAGGATTCCAGAACACAGCTTCTAGGGTCTGAATGTTTTCCCTCACATAGGATTCCAGAACACTGCTACGAGGTTCTGAATGTTTTTCTCTCACAGAGCATTGTAGAACATTGCTACTGGGTTCTGTTTGCTTGTCCCTCACAAAGGAATCCAGAGCACTGCTGCAGATGTCTTAGTTTTTATCCCTCACATACGATTCCAGAACACTTCTATGAGGTTCTGAATGTTTGCACTCATATATTATTCCAGTACACAGTGGCTGGATTCTGAGTATTTGTCCCTCAGATAGGATTCCAGAACACTGCTACGAGGTTCTGAATGTTTGCACTCATATATTATTCCAGTACACAGTGGCTGGATTCTGAGTATTTGTCCCTCAGATAGGATTCCAGAACACTGCTACGAGGTTCTGAATGCTTGTCCCTAATAAAGGATTCTAGAACACTGGGACTGGGTTCGGAGTGTTTGTCCTCACAAAGGATTCTAGAACAATAATGCTGGATTCCGAACGCTTGTCCCTCACTTAGGATTCCAGAACACTGCTGCTGGGTTCTGAGTGTTTGTCCATCACTTAGGATTCCAAAACACTGCAGCTGGGTTCTGAGTGTTTCTCCCTCACATAGAATTCCAGAACACTGCTACAAATTTCTGAAAGTTTGCTGCTCACTTAGGATTCCAGAACACTGCTCCTGGGTTCTGAGTGTTTGTCTCTCACTTAGGATTCCAGAACACTGCTGCTGTGTTCTGAGTGTTTGTCCCTCACTTTGGATTCCAGAACACTGCTACGAGGGTCTGAATGTTTATCCCTCACAAATGTTTCCAGAACACTACTACTGGATTCTGAGGGTTTGTCCTTCATATTGGATTCCAGAACAATGCTGCGAATGTCTGAAAGTTTTTCCCTCACGTAGGATTCCAGAACTCAGTTACGAGGGTGTGAATGTTTTTCCCTCCCAAAGGATTCCAGAACACTGCTGCTCGGTTCTGAGTGTTTGTCCCTCATATAGGGTTCCAGAACGCTGCTATGAGGATCTGAATGTTTTTCCCTCACAAAGGATTTTAGAACACTGCTACTGAGTTATGTTTTTGGTCCCACACAAAGAATTCCAGGGCACTGCTGCAGACTTCTTAGTGTTTGTCCTTCACATAGGATTCCAGAACACTGTGATGAGGTTTGGAATGTTGGCTCTCAGATAGGATTCCAGTACACTGTGGCTGGATACTGAGTGTTTGTCCCTCACATAGAATTCCAGAACACTGCTACGAGGTTCTGAATGTTTGTCCTTCACAAAGGATTCTAGAACACTTAGTCTGGGTTCTGAGTGTTTGTCCCTCACAAAAGATTCTAGAACATTGCTGCTAGGTTCTGAGGATTTGTACCTCACATAGGATTCCAGAACACTGCTAGGAGGGTCTGAATTTTTGTCCCTCACATAGAATTCCAGAACACTGCTGCTGATTTCTCACTGCTTGTCCCTCACATAGAATTCCAGAACATTGCTACGAAATTCAGAAAGTTTGTCACTCACATAGGATTCCAGAACAGTGCTGCTGGGTTCTGAGTGTTTCTCCCTCTCATAGGATTCCAGAACACTGCTGCTGGGTTCTAGTGTTTGTCCCTCACATAAGATTGCAAAACACTGCTACGAGGTTCTGAATGTTTATCCCTCATAAAGGTTTCCAGGAAACTGCTGCTGGGTTCTGAGTGGTTGCCCTCATATTGTCTTCCAAAACAATGGTACGAGTGTCTGAATGTTTTTCCCTCACCTAGGATTCCGGAACACTGTTATGAGGGTGTGAAAGTTTTTCCCTCCTAAAGGATTACAGAACACTGCTGTCGGGTTCTGAGTGTTTGTCCCTCACAAAAGATTCTAGAACACTTCTGCTGGGTTCTGTGTGTTTGTCCATCACATATGATTCAGGAACACTGCTGTTGGTTTCTGAATGTTTGTCCCTCACTTAGGAATCCAGAACACTGCTGCTGGCTACTGAGTGTTTGTCCATAACATAGAAATCCAGAACACTGCTATGAAGTTCTGAACGTTTGTGGCTCATATAGGATTCCAGAAGACTGTGGCTGTGTTCTGAGTGTTTGTCCCTCACATAGGATTCCAGAACACTGCTGCTGGGTTCTGAGTGTTTGTCCCCCGCATAAGATTCCAGAACAGTGCTACAAAGGTCTGAATGTTTATCCCTCACAAAGCATTTCAGAACACTGCTACTGGGTTCATAGCATTTGTCCCTCATATTGGATTCCAGAACAATAATATGAGGGTCTGAATATCTTTCTATTACATAGGAATCCAGAACACCTTTTCGAGGGTGTGAATGTTTTCCCCTCCCAAAGGATTGCAGAAGACTGCTGCTGGGTTCTGAGTGTTTGTCCCACATATAGGATTCCAGATCACTGCTACGAGGTTGTGAATGCTTTTCCCTCAGATAGGATCCCAGAAGACTGTTATGAGGTTCTGAATGTTTTTCCCTCACAAAAGGATTGAAGAACACTGCCACTGGGTTCTGATTGTTTTTCCCTCAAAAAAGATTCCAGAGCAGTGCTGCAGATTTCTTACTGTTTGTCCCTCACATAGGATTCCAGAACACTTCTGCGAGGTTCTGAATGTTTGCCCTCGGATAGGATTCCAGTACACAGTGGCTGGATTCTGAGTGTTTGTCCCTCACATAGGATTCCAGAACACTGCTACAAGGTTATGAATGCTTGTCACACAAAAAAGATTCTAGAACACTGCTGCTGATTTCTGAGTGTTTGTGCCTCACAAATAATTCTAGAACACTACTGCTGAGTTCTAAGTACTTGTGCCTCACATAGGATTCGAGAACACTGCTGCTGGGTTCTGAGTGTTTGTCCCTGACTTAGGATTCCAGAACACTGCTTCTTGGTTCTGAGTGTCAGTCCCTCACATAGAATTCCAGAACAGGGCTATGAAGTTCTGAAAGTTTGTCGCTTACATAAGATTCCAAAACACTGCTGCTGGATTCTGAGGGTTTGTCCCTTGCATAGGATTCCACAACACTGCTGCTGAGTTCTGAGGATTTCTCCCTCACGTAGGATTCCAGAACACAGCTACGAGGTTCTGAATGTTTATTCCTCACAAAGGTTTACAGAACACTGCTATGGAGTTCTGAGTGTTTTCCCCTCATATTGGATTCCAGAACAATGCTGCGAGTTTCTAAATGTTTTCCCCTCATATAGGATTCGAGAACACTGTTACGAGGGTGTGAATATTTTTCCCTCCCAAATAATTCCAGAACACTGTTGCTGTGTTCTGAGTGTTTTTCCCTCATATAGGATTCCAGAACAGTGCTACAAGGTTCTGAATGTTTTTCCCTCACATAGGATTCCAGAAGACTGCTATGAGGGTCTGAAAGATTTTCCCTCACTAAGGATTGTAGAACACTGCAACTGGGTTCTGTTTGTACCTCACAAAGGATTTCAGAGCACTGCTGCAGATTTCTTAGTGTTATTCCCTCACATAGGATTCCAGAATACTTCTACGATGTTCTGAATGTTTGTGCTTGGATAGGATTCCAGTACACAATGGCTAGATTCTGAATATTTGTCCCTCACATAGAATTTCAGGACACTGCTACGAGTTTCTTAATGTTTCTCCCTCACAAAGGATTACAGTACACTGCTGCTGGGTTCTGAGTGTTTGTCCCTCACATTGGATTCCAGAACACTGATGCTGGGTGCTGAGTGTTTGTCTCTCAGTTAGGATTCCACAACACTGCTGCTGGGTTCTGAGTGTTTGTCCCTCACATAGAATTCCAGAACACTGCTACAAATTTCTGAGAGTTTGTCTCCACATAGGTTTCCAGAACACTGCTGCTTTTTTCTGAGAGTTTGTCCCTCACATAGGATTCCAGAACACTGCTGCTGGGTTCTGAGTGTTTGTCCCACACATAGGATTCCAGAACATTGCTACGAGGGGCTGAATGTTTATGCCCAACAAAGGGTTCCAGAACACTGCTACTGGGTTCTGAGTGTTCATACTTCATATTGGATTCCAAAACAATGCTATCAGGATCTGAATCTTTTTCCCTCACATAGGATTCCAGAATACTTTAACGAGGGTGTGAATATTTTTCCCTCCCAAATGTTTCCAGAACACTGCTGCTGGGTTCGGAGTGTCTGTCACTCATATAGAACTCCAAAACACTGCTACAAGGGTCTGAATATTTTTCCCTCACATAGGATTCCAGAACCCTGCTACAAGGGTCTGAATGTTTTTCCCTCACAAAGGACTGATCAACACTGCTACAGGGTTCTGTTTGCTTGTCCCTCCAAAGGATTCCAGAGCACTGTTGCAGATTTCTTAGTGTTTGTCCCTCATAGGATTCCAGAACCCTTCTCTGAGGTTCTGAATATTTGCCCTCAGATAGGATTCCAGTGCACGGTGGCTGGATTCTGAGTGTTTGTCCCTCACATAGGATTCCACAGCACTGCTGCTGGCTTCTGAGTGTTTGCCCCTCACATAGAATTCCAGAACACTGCTACGAAGTTCTGAAAGTTTTTCGCTCACTTAGGTTGCCAGAACACTGCTGCTGAGTTCTGAGTATTTGTCCTACACATAGGATTCCAGAACACTGCTGCTGGGTTCTGACTGTTTGTCCCTCACATAGGATTCCAGAAGACTGCTACAAGGGTCTGAATGTTTATCCCTCAGAAAGGGATTCAGAACCCTGCTACAAGGATCTGAGTGATTTTCCCTCACATAGGATTCCAGAACACTGTTATGAGAGTGTGAGTGTTTCTCCCTCCCAAAGGGTTTCAGAACACTGCTAATGGGTTCTGAGTGTTTCTCCCTCGTACAGGATTCCAGAACTCTGCCACGATGTTCTGAAAGTTTTCCCCTCACATAGGATTCCAGAACACTGCTACGAGAGTCTGAATGTGTTTCCCTCACAAAGGATTGTAGAACAGTGCTACTGTGTTCTGTTTGTTTGTCCCTCACAAAGGATTCCAGAACAGTGCTGCAGATTTCTTAGTGTTGTCCATCAGATAGGATTCCAGAACACTTCTACGAGGTTCTGAGTGTTTGCCCTCAGATAGGATGGCAATTCTCATTGGCTGGATTCTGACTGTTTGTCCCTCACATGGGATTTCAGAACACAGCTACGATGTTCTGAATGTTTGTCCCTCACAAAGGATTCCAGAACACTACTGCTGGGTTCTGAGTGTTTGTCCCTCACAAAGGATTCTACAACACTGCTGCTGGGTTCTGTGTGTTTGTCCCTCACATAGAATTCCAGGACACTGCTGCTTTTTTATGAGTGTTTCTCCCTCACATAGGATTCTAGAACTCTGCTGCTGGCTCCTGAGTGTTTGTCCCTCTAATAGAATTCCAGAACAGTGCTACGAAGTTCTGAAATTATATCACTCACATAGGATTCCTGAACACTGCTAGGAATGTCTGAATGTTTATCCCTCACAAAGGGATCCAGAACACTGCTACTGGGTTCTGAGTGTTTGTCCCTCATATGGGATTAAAGAATAATGCTACGAGGTTCTGAATGTTTTTCCCTCATAGAGAATGTAGAACACTGCTACCGGATTCTGTTGTTTGTCCCTCAGAAAGGATTATAGAACAGTGCTGCAGATTTCTTAGTGTTTGTCTCTCACATAGAATTCCAGAACACTTCTACGAGGTTCTGAATGTTTGCCGTCAATAGGATTCCAGTACACAGTGGCTGGATTCTGAGTGTTTGTCCCTCACATCGCATTCCAGAACTCTTCTACAAGTTTCTGAATGTTTGTACCTAACAAAGGATTCTAGAACACTGCTGCTGCATTCTGAGTGTTTGTCCCTCACAAAGGATTCTAGAGCACTACTACTGTTTCCTGAATGTTTGTCCCTCACATAGGATTCCAGAACACTGCTGCTGGGTTCTCAGTGTTTGTCCCTCATATATGATTCCAGAAAACTGCTACGAGGGTCAGAATGTTTTTCTCTGACATAGGATCCAAGAACACTGCTAGGAGGTTCTGAGTGTTTTTCCCTCCCAAAGGATTCCGGTACACTGCTGCTGGTTTCTTAGAGTTTGTCCCTCACAAAGGATTCCAGAACACTTCTATGAGGGTGTGAATGTTTGACCCTCAGATAGGACTCCAGTACACAGTGGCTGCATTGTGAGTGTTTGTTCCTCACATAGGACTCAAGAACACTGTTGCTGGGTTCTGAGTGTTCCTCACTCACATAGGATTCCCGAGAAATGCTAAGAGGATGTGAATGTTTGTCTGTCAGAAAGAATTGCAGAACACTCCTGTTGTGATAAGAGTGTTTGTCCCTCACATTGGATTCCAGAACACAGCTTCTAGGGTCTGAATGTTTGTCCCTCACAAATGATTCCAGAACACTGCTGCTGGTTTTTGAGTGTTTGTCACTCACATAGGATTCCAGAACACTGCTGCTGGGTTCTGAGTGTTTGTCCCTCACATCAGATTCCAGAACAATGTCATTGGCTTCACAGTATTTGTCCCTCATATATGATTCCAGAACAATCCTATGAGGTTCTGAATGTTTCTTCCTCACAAAGGATTCCAGAACACTGCTGCTTTGTTCTGAGTGTTTGTCGCTGACATAGGATTCCAGAAAAATTGCTGCTGGGTTCTGAGTGTTTGTCCCTCACATAGGATTCCAAAACAGTGCTACGAGGCTCTGAAGGTTTGTCCCTCACATAGGATTCCAGAACACTGGTTCGAGAGTCTGAATATTTGTCCCTCACAAAAAATTACAGACAACTGCTGCTGGGTTGTTAGAGTTTGTCCCTCACTTAGGATTCCAGAACACTTATTTTGGGTTCTGAATCTTTGTCCTTCACATAGGATACCACAACAGTGCTGCTAACTTCTGAGTGATTGTCCGGCACATAGGATTCCAGAACACTGCTATGAGGGTCAGAATGTTTTTCCCTCACAAAGGCTTCCAGAACACTGTTGCTGGTTTCTGTTTGTTTGTCTCTCAAAAGTGATTCCGGAACACTGATGCTGGTTTTTCAGTGTTTGTCCTGCACATAGGATTCCAGAACTCTTCTGCAAATTTCTGAACATTTGTCCCTCAGATAGGATTCCACTGCACAGTGGCTGGTTTCTGAGTGTTTGTCTCTCACGTAGGATTCCAGGACACTGCTGCTGGGTAATGAGTTTTTGTGCCTCACAAAAGATTCCATAAAGCTGCTACGATGGTCTCAAAGTTTGTCTATCACAAAGCATTTCAGAACAATGCTGCTTGATCTGATTGTTTGTCCCTCACAAGGAATAACAGAATACTGCTGCTGATTTCTGAGGGTTTGTACCTCACATAGTATTCCAGAACAATGCGACGAGGGTCTGAATGTTTGTCCCTCACAGAGAATTCTAGAACAGTGCTATGAGGGTCTGAATGCTTGTCCCTCACATTGGAATGCAGAACACTACTGCAGGGTTCTGAGTGTTTGTCCGTCTCATAGGATTCCAGAGCACTGCTCTGAGGGTATCAGTATTTGACTCTCACAAAGGATTCTAGAACACTGCTACTGGGCTCTGAGTGTTTGTCACTAACATGGGATTCCAGAACACTGCTGCAGCATTCTTAGTGTTTGTCTCTCACATAGGATTCGAGAACACTGCTATGAAGGTCTGAATGTTTGTCCCTCACAAACGATTACAGAACACTGCCACTGGGTTCTAAGTGTTTGTCCCTCACATTAGATTCCAGAACACTGCTGCTCGGTTCTGAGGGTTTGTTCCTCACATAGGATTCCAAAACACTGCTGCTGGGTTCTGACTGTTTGTCCCTCACATAGGATTTCAGAACACTGTTAAGATTGTCTGAATGTTTGTCCCTCACAAAGTATTCTGGAACACTGCTGCTGTGTTCTGAGTGTTTGTCCCTCACATAGGATTCCAGAAGATTGCTGCTGCATTCTGAGTGTTTGTCCCTCACATAGGATTCCACAAAACTGCTACGAAGGTCTGAATGTTTGTCCCTCAGATAGGATTCCAGAATACTGCAATGAGGGTCTGAATCATTGTCCCTCACATAGGATTCTGTCACTCCTATGAGTGTCTGAAAGCTGAGCTCTCCCATAGGATTCCAGAAAACTTCTACTGGGTTCTCAGTGTTTTTTCTCACATAGGATTTCAGAACACTGCTGCTGCATTCTGAGTGTTTGTCCCTCAGATAGGATTCCAGAACACTGCTGCTGGGTTCTGAGTGTTTGTCCCTCATATAGAATTCTAGAACAATGCTGCTGGGTTCTGAGGGTTTGTCCCTCATATAGAATTCCAGAACACAGCTGATATGTTCGGAGTGTTTGTTCCTCACCTAACATTCCAGAACACTGTTGCTGTGTTCTGAGTGTTTGTCCCTCACTTTGTATTCCAGAACTCCGCCGCTAGGTTCTGAGGCTTATCCTTCACATCGAATTCCAGAACACTGCTGCTCCATTCTGAGGATTTGTACCTCACATAGGATTCCAGAACACTGCTAGGAGGGTCTGAATTTTTGTCCCTCACATAGAATTCCAGTGCAGTGCTATGAGGTTCTGAACGCTTGTCCCTCACATAGGATTCCAGAACACTGCTGCAGGGTTCCGTGTGTTTGTCCTCCACATAGGATTACAGAACACTGCTGCTGGGTTCTGAGTGGTTGTCCCTCACATTGGATTGCAGAACACTCCTCGTGGGTACTGAGTGTTTGTCCCTCACTTAGGACACCCGAACACTGTTGCTGTGTTCTGAGGGTTTGTCCCTCACAGAGGATTCCAGACCACTGCTGCTTTGTTCTGAGTGTTTGACCCTCACATAGTATTCCAGAACACTTCTACAAGTGTCTGAATGTTTGTCCCTCAGATAGGATTCCAGAATACAGTGGCTGGGTTATGAGGGTTGTCCCTCACATAGAATTCCAGAACACTGCTGCCAGGTTCTGACTGTTTGTCCCTCAAATAGGATTCCAGAGCCCAGCTTCTGGGTTCTGAGTGTTTATAACTCACATACGATTCCAAAACACTGCATCGAGGGTCTGAAAGTTTGTCCCACACAAAGGATTCTAGAACACTGCTTCTGCGTTCTGAATGATTTTCACTCACATAGGATTACAGAACACTGCTGCTGCGTTCTGAGTGTTTGTCCCTCACATGGGATTTGAAAACACTGCTGCTGGGTTCAGAGTGTTTGTTCCTCACATAGGATTACAGAACACTGCTACTGGGTTCAGAGTGTTTGTCCCTCACATGGGATTTGAAAACACTGCTGTTGGGTTCAGAGTGTTTGTCCCTCACATAAGATTCCAGAACACTGCTACGAGGTTCTGAATGTTTGTCCTTCAAAAAGGATTCTAGAACACTGCTGCTGGGTTCTGAGTGTTTGTCCCTCACATAGGATTCCAGAACACTGCTGCTGGGGGTGAGTGTTTGTCCCTAACATAGAATTCCAGAACACTGCTATGAGGGTCTGAATGTTTCTCTTCAGAAAGGATTCCAGAACACTGCTACAAGGTTCTGAATGTTTGTCCCTCACAAGAGATTTCATAACACTACTTCTGGGTCCTGAGAGGTTTTCCCTCACATAGGATTCCAGACTACTGCTGCTGTGTACTGTTTGTTTGTCCCTCACAAATGATTCGAGAGCACTGCTGCTGTTTTCTGAGTGTTTGTCCCTCATACAGGTTTCCAGAACACTTTTTCCCGTGTCTGAATGTTTGTACCTCAGATAGGATTCCAGAACAGAGTAGCTGGGTTCTGAGTGTTTTTCCCTCATATAGGATTCCAGAACACTGCTGCTGCATTCCGAGTATTTGTTCCTCTCATAGGATTCCAGAACCCTACTGCGGGGTTCTGAGTGTTTTTCCCTCACATAGGATTCTAGAACCCTACTGCGGGGTTCTGAGTGTTTTTCACTCACATAGGACTCTAGAACACTGCTCCGCGGTTCTGAGTGTTTTTCACTCACATAGGATTCTAGAACACTGCTCCTGCATTCTGAGTGTTTGTCCCTCACATAGGATACCAAAACACTGCTGCAACGGTCTGAATGTTTGTCTGACACAAAGGATTCTAGAAAATTTCTACTGGGTTCTGAGGGTTTGTCCCACACATAGGATTCCAGAACACTGATTCGAGGGTCTCAAGGTTTGTCCCTCACAAAGGATTGTCGAACACTGCTGCTGGGTTCTGAGTGTTTGTCACTCACATAGGATTCCAGAACACTGCTGCTGGGTTCTGAGTGTTTGTGCCTCACAGGTTATTCCAAAACACTGCTGCTGTGTTCACATTGTTTGTCCCAAACTTATGATTTGAGAACACTGCTGAGAGGTTCTGCATGTTTGTCCCTCACAAAGGACTCTAGAACACTGCTGCTGGGTTCTGAGTGTTTGCCCCTCACAAAGATACTGGAACACTGCTGCTGTGTTCGGAGTGTTTGTCACTCACGTAGGATACCAGAACACTGCTGATGGATTCTGAGAGTTTGTCCCTCACATAGGATTCCAGCACACGGCTGCTGGGTTCTGAGTGTTTGTCCCTCACTTACGATTCCAGAGCACTGCTGCTGTGTTCTGAGTGTTTGCCCTCACATAGAATATCAGAACATTGCTACAAAGTTTTGAATGTTTGTTGCTCACATAGGATTCCAGAACACTGCTGCTGGGTTCTGAGTGTTTGTCCCTCACATAGGATTCCAGAACACTGCTACGAGTGTTTGAATGTTTTTCCCTCACAATTATTCTGGAACACTGCTTCTGGGATCTGTATGTTTGTCCCTCACAAAGGATTCTAGAGCACTGCTGCTGGTTTCCTGTGTTTGTCCCTCACATAGGATTCCAGAACACTTCTACGAATGTCTGAATGTTTGTCCCTCAGATTCGACTCCAGTTCACAGTTACTGTGTTCCGAGGGGTTGTCCCTCAAATAGGATTCCAGAACACTGCTGCTGGGATCTGAGTCTGTGTCCCTCACATGGGATTCCAGAATACAGCTTTTGGGTTCTGAGTGTTTGTCCCTCATTTTGGATTCCAGAACAATGCTACGAGGGTCTGAATGTTTTTCCCTCACGTGGGATTCCAGAACACTGCTGCTGGGTTCTGAGGGTTTGTCCCTCATGTAGGATTCCAGGACACTACTACGAGGGTTTGAATGTTTTTCCCTAACATCGGATCACAGAACACTGATAGGAGGTTTTGAGTGTTTTTCCCTCCCAAAGGATTCCAGAGCACTGCTGCTGGTTTCTTAGAGTTTGTCCCTCACATAGGACTCCCGAACACTTCTACGAGGGTGTGAATGTTTGTCCCTCAGATAGTATTCCAGTACACTGTGGCTGGGTTTTGAGTGTTTGTGCCTCACATGGGATTGAAGGACACTGCTGCTGGGTTCTGAGTGTTTGTCACTCACATAGGATTCCAGAACACTGCTGCTGGGTTCTGAGTGTTTATCCCTCACATCAGATTCCAGAACAATGCCGTTGGCTTCACAGTATTTGTCCCTCACATATGATTCCAGAACACTCCTATGATGTTCTGAATGTTTGTCCCTCACAAAGGATTCCAGAACACTGCTGCTGGATTCTCTGTGTTTGTCCCTCACGTAGGATTGCAGAACACTGCTTTGAGTGTCTGAATGTTTCCCCTCACTAAGGATTCTAGAACACTGCTGCTTTTTTCTGAGTGTTTGTCACTCACATAGGATTCCAGAACACACCTGCTGGTTTCTGAGTGTTTGTCTCTCACATGGGAATGCAGAACACTGCTCCTGGTTTAAGAATGTTTGTCCCTCACATAGCATTCCAGAACACTGCTGCGAGATTCTGAATGTTTTTCCCTCACAAAGGATTCCATAACACTACTGCTGGGTTCCGAGTTTTTGAGCCCCACATAGGATTCCAGAACACTGCTGCTGTGTTCTGTTTGTTTGTCTCTCACAAAGGATTACAGAGCACTGCTTTTGGGTTCTGAGTGTTTTTTCCTCACATAGGATACAGAACACTGCTGCAGGTTTCTGAGTGTTTGTCACTAACATAGGATTCGAAAACACTGCTGCTGAGTTCTGTATGTTTGTCCATCACAAAGGATTCCTGAGAACTGCTTCTGGTATCTGAGTGTTTCCTCCTCACATAGGATTCCAGAACAATTCTACGAGTGCCTGAATGTTTGGTCCTCAGGATTCCAGAACACAGTGGCTGGAATGTGACTATTTGTCCTCCACATAGGATTCCAGAATACTGCTACTTATATCTGAATGTTTGTCACTCACATACGATTTCAGAACACTGATGCTTGGTTCTGAATGTTTGTCACTCACATAGGATTCCAGAAAAGTGCTACGAGGTTCTGAATGTTTGTCCATCACAAAGGATTCCAGAACAATGATGCTGGGATCTGAGTGTTTGTCCCTCACATAGGATTTCAGAACTCTGCTTCGATGTTCTGAATTTTTTTTCCCTCAATGAGGATTCTAGAACACTTCTGCTGGTTCCTTAGTATTTGTCCCTCACATAGGATTCCAGAACACAGCAACGAGGGTCTGAATATTTGCCCCTCACAAAGGATTCCAGAAAACTGCTACTGCATTCTGAGTGTTTGTCCCCCACAAAGGATTGCAGAGCATGGTGCTGAATTCTGAGTGTTTGTCCCTCACATAGGATTCCAGAACACAGTGTCTGGGTTCTGAGTGTTTGTCTATCCCATAGGATTCCAAAACACTGGTACGAGGGTCTGAATGTTGGTCTAATCCAAAGTTTCCAGAACACTGCTGCTGGGTTCTGAGTTTTTGTCCCTCACATAGGATTCCAGAACACTGCTTTGAGGATATGAATGTTTGTCCCTCATGAAGGATTCTAGAACACTGCTTCTGGGTTTTGAGTGTTTGTCCCTCAATAGGATTCCAGAACACTGCTCCTGGGTTCTGAGTGTTTGTCTCTCACTTAGGATTCCAGAACAGTGCTATAAGATTCTGAATGTTGGTCCCTCAGAAAGTATTCCAGAACACTGCTGCTGGGTTCTGAGTGTTTGTCCCTCACATGGGATTCCAGAACTCTGCTGCTGGGTTCAGAGTGTTTGGCCCTCACATAATAATCCAGAACACTGCTTTGAGGTTCTGAATGTTTGTCCCTCACAAACGATTACTGAACACTGCTGCTGGGTTCTGAGTGGCCCTCACATAATATTCCAGAACACTGCTTTGAGGTTCTGAATGTTTGTCCCTCACAAACGATTACTGAACACTGCTTCTGGGTTCTGAGTGTTTGTTCCTCACATAGGATTCCAGAGACTCCTACGAGTGTCTGAAAGTTTGTCCCTCAGATAGGATTCCAGAACACAGTGGCTGGGTTCTGAGTGTTTGTCCCCCACATAGGATTCCAGAACACTGCTACGAAGTTCTGAATGTTTGTCGCTCACATAGGATTTCACATCACTACTGCTGGGAATTGAGGGTCTGTCCCTCACATAGTAGTCCGGAACACTGCTGTCGTCTCTGAGTGTGTGTTTCTCACACAGCATTCCAGAACATTGCTACGAGGGTCTTTATATATTTACCTCACAAAGGATTCCAGAACTCTGCTTCTCGGTTCTGTTTATTTGTCCCTCACAAATGTTTCCATAACACAGCTGCTGGTTTCTGAGTGTTTCTCCCTCACATAGGCTACCAGAACACTTCTACGGGTGTCTGAATATTGTCCCTCAGGTAAGATTCCAGAACACAGTGGCTTGGTTCTGAGGGTTTGTGCCTCACATAGGATTCCAGAACACTGCTGCTGGGTACTTAGTGTTTGTCGCTCACATAGGATTCCAGAACACTGCTACTGATTTCTGCGTGTTTTTCCTCACATATGATTCCAGAACACTGCTGCAGGTTTCTGAGTGTTTGTCCCTCACTTACGATTACAGAACACTGCTATGAGTGTCTGAATGTTTGTCCCTAACAAAGGATTCCAGAACAATGCTTAGAGGATATGAATATTTGTCCGTCACAAATGATTCCACAACACTGCTGCTGGGTTCTTAGTGTTTGTCCCTCACTTAGGATTGCAGAACACTGCTACGAAATTCTGAATGTTTGTCCCTAAGAAAGGATTCCAGAACAGTGCTGCTGTGTTCTGAGTGTTTGTCACTCCTGAATGATTCCAGATCACTGCTGCTGGTATCCGAGTGTTTGTCCCTCACATAGGATTACAGAACACTTCTACGAGTGTTTGAATGTTTGTCCCTCAGACAGGATTCTGGAACACAGTGGCTGGGTTCTGAGTGTTTGTCCCTTGCATAGGATTCCAAAACACTGCTGCTGGGCTCTGAGTGTTTGTCACTCACATAGGATTCCAGAACCCAGCTGCTGGATTCTGAGTGCTTGTCACTCAGATACGATTCCAGAACACTGCTTCGAGGGTCTGAAACTTTGTCTCTCATAAAGGATTCTAGAACACTGCTTCTGGGTTCTGAGTGTTTTTCACTCATAAAGGATTCCAGAACATGGCTATGAAGTTATGAATCTTTGTTGATCACACGGTATTCCAAGACACTGCTGCTGTGTTCTGAGTGTTTTTTCCTCACATAGGATTCCACAACACTGCTGCTGAGTTCTTGTTGTTTTTCCCTAACATAGGATTCGAGGACACGGCTACGAGGGTCTGAATGTTTGCCCATCACAAAGGATTCCTGAACACTGCTGCTGGGTTCTGAGTGTTTGTCCCTCACAAAGGATTGGAGGACACTTCTGTTGGGTACTGAGTGTTTGTCCCCCACAATTGAATCCAGAGCACTGTTGTTGGTTTTTGAGTGTTTGTCCCTCACATAGTATTCCAGAACACTTCTTTGAGTGACTGAATGTTTGTCCCTCACATAGTATTCGAGAACACAGGGGATGAAAACTTAGTGTTTGTCCCTCAATAGGATTCCAGAACGCTGCTGCTGGGTTCTGAGTGTTTGTCCGTCATATACGATTCCAGAACACTGCTTCAAGGTTCTGAAGGTTTTTCCCTCACAACGGATTCTAGAACACTGCTGCTGGGTTCTGAGTGTTTTTCACTCACATAGGATTCCAAAACACTGCCATGAGGTTCTGAACATTTGTCCCTCATAAAGGATTCCAGAACACTGCTGCTGGGTTCTGAGTGTTTGTGCCTCACAAAGGATTCTAGAACACTCCTGCTTGGTTCTGAGTGTTTGTCCCTCACATAGGATTCCAGCACACTGCTGTTGGGTTCTGAGTGTTTGTCCCTCAAATAGGATTCCAGCACACTGCTATTGGGTTCTGAGTGTTTGTCACTCACCTAGGATTCCAGAACACTGCTGCTGGGTTCTGAGTGTTTGTCCCTCTCTTAGGAATCCAGAACAATACTGCTGTTTTCTGAGTGTTTGAGGCTGACATAGAATTCCAAAACACAGCTGCTGAGTTTTGTATGTTTGTTCCTCACAAAGGATTCCTGAGCACTGCTTCTGGTTTCTGAGTGTTTGTCCCTCAGTTTGGATTCCAGAATACTTCTACGACTGTCTGAATGTTTGTCCCTCAGATAGGATTCCAGAACACACTGGCTGGGTTCTGAAAGTTTGTCCCCCACATAGGATTCCAGAATACTGCTACTAATATCTGAAAGTTTGTTGCTCACATACGATTTCAGAACACTGCTGCTGGCTTCTGAAGGTTTGCGACTCACATAGGATTCTAGGAAACTGCTACTGGGGTCTGAATGTTTGTCCATCACAAAGGATTCCAGAACACTGCTGCTGGGATCTGAATGGTTGTCTCTCACATAGGATTCCACAACCCTCCTTCGTTTTTCTGAATATTTGTCCCTCACAGAGGATTCTAGAACACTGCTTCTGGTTTCTTAGGGTTTGTCACTCACATAGGATTCCAGAACAATGCTGCTGGGTTCTGAGTGTTTGTCCCTAACTTGGGATTCCAGAACACTGCTGCTGAGTTCAGAGTGATTTTCCCTCACATAGGATTCCAGAAAACTGGTGCTTGGATCTGAGAGCTTGTCTCTGTCAACGAGTTCCAGAACACTGCTGCTGTGTTCAGAGCGTTTGTCCCTCACATAGGATTGCAGAATACTGCTGCTAGTTTCTGAGGGTTTGTCCCTCACTAGAATTCTAGAACTCTCCTGCTGTGTTCTGAGGGTTTCTCCAACACATGGGATTCTGAAACACTGCTACAGGGGTCAGTAAGTTTGTCGGTCACAACGGATTCCAGAGCACCGCTAGTGGGTTCTCAATGTTTGTCCCTCACATCGGATTGCAGAACACAGTTGCTATGTTCTGAGTGTTTGTCCCAAACATAGGATTCCAGAACTCTGCTTGGAGGGTCTGAAAGTTTTTTCCTCACCAAGGATTCCGGAACACTGCTGGGTTCTGAATGGTTGTCCCTCACCTACGATTCCAGAACAATGCTGGGATGGTCTCAAAGTTTGTTCCTCAGAAGGCATTCTGTATTACTGCTACGAGTGTCTGAATCCTTGTCTCTCACATAGGATTCCAGAGCACTGATACTGGGTTCTGAGTGTTTGTCCTTCACATAGGATTCCAGAACACTGCTCCGAGAGTCTGAATGTTTGTCCCTCACATAGGATTCCAAAACACTGCTGCTGGTTTGTGAGTGTTTGTCCCTCACATAGGATTCCAGAACAATTCTGCTGGGTTCTGAATGTTTGTCCCTCATATAGGAAGCCAGAACACTGCTGCTGGGTTTTTTGTGTTTGTCCCTCACATAGCATTCCAGAACACTGCTGCAGGGTTCTGAGTATTGGTCCCTCACATGGGATTCCAGAATACTGCTGCTAGTTTCTGAGGGTTTGTCCCTCACATAGAATTCAAGAACACTGCTGCTGAGTTCTGAGGGTTTGTGCCTCACATAGGATTACAGAATACTGCTACGAGGGTCTGAATGTTTGTCCCTCACAGAGCACTCCAGAACAGTGCTTTGAGGTTCTCAATTATTGTCCCTCACATAGGATTCCAAAACACTGCTGCGGGGTTCTGAGTGTTTGTCCCTCACTTAGGATTCCAAAACAGTGTTCTGAGTGTCTGAATATTTGTCCCTCACGTAGAAATCCCTTACACTGCGGCTGGGTTCTGAGTGTTTGTCCCTCACATAGGATTCCAGAACACTGCTGCTGTTTTCTGAGTGTTTGTCCCTCACATAGGATTTCAGAACACTGATACGAGGGTCTGAATGTTTTTCCCTTATATAGCATTACAGGACAGTGCTATGAGTGTCTGAATGTTTGTCCTCACAAAGGATTTTATAACACTGCTGCTTCTTTCTGAGGGTTTGTCCCCCACATAAAATTCCCAAACAGTTGCTGGGTTCTTGCTATTCGTCCTTCACATAGGATTCCAGAACACTGCTGCTGGTTTCTGTGTATGACCCTCACATATAATTCCAGAACACTGCTAGGAGGGTCTGAATGTTAGTCCCTCACAAAGGATTCCAGAACACTGCTGCTGGGTTGTGAGTGTTTGTCACTCACTTAGGATTCCAGGACACTTTGTCAGGGTTCTGTGTGTTTGTGCATCATGTGGGATACAAGAACACTGCTGCTGTGTTTTTAATGTTTATCAATCACATAGGATTCCAGAACACTACTGCAGGGTTCTGAGTGTCTGTCCCTCACATAGGAATCCAGAAAACTGCTGCAATGTTCTGAGGGATTGTCCCTCACGTAGAATTCCAGAACACACATGCAGGGTTCTGATGGCCTGTGGCTCACATACGATTCTAGAATCCTGCTACGAGGGTCTGAATATCTGTCCTTCACAGAGCATTCCAAAACAGTGCTATGAGGGTCTGAAAGCTTGTCCCTCACATAGGATTCCAGAACACTGCTGCAGGTTTCTGAGCTTTTGTCCCTCACATTGGATTCCACAACAATGCTCCGAGGGTTTGAATGATTGTCCTTCACAAAGGATTCCAGAAATCTGCTGCTGGGTTCTGCTTGTTTGTACCTCACAAGGCAATCCAGAGCACTGCTTCTGGTTTCTGAGGGTTTGTCCTTCAAATAGGATACCACCACACTGCTACGACAGTCTGAATGTTTGTCCGTGACAAATGAATCCAGAACACTGTTGCAGGGTTCCGAGTGTTTGTCCCTCACGTAGGATTCCAGAACACAGCTGCGGATTTCGGAGTGTTTGTCCCTCACATGGGACTCAAAAACACTGCTGCTGCTCGGTTCACAGTTGTCCCTTACATATGATTGCTGAACACTGCTATGAGGTTCTGAATGCTTGTCCCTCACAAAGGATTCCAGAACACTGCTGCTGGGTTCTGAGTGTTTGACACTCACATAGCATTCCAGAACACTGCTGCTGGGTTCTGAGTGTTTGTCCTTCACATAGGATTGAAGAACACTGCAGCTGGGTTCTGAGTGTTTGTCCCTCACATTGGATTCCAGAACACTCCTAAGAACTTCTGAATGTTTGTCCCTCACATAGGATTCCAGAACATTGCTGCTGGGTTCTGAGTGTTTGTCCCTCACATAGGATTCCAGAACAATGTTGCTGGGTTCTGAGTGTTTTTCCCTCACATAGGACTCCAGAACACTGCTTCGAAGGTCTGAATGTTTTTCCCTCACAAAGGATTCAAGAACACTGCTGCTGGGTTCTGTGTGTTTGTCCCTCACAAAGGATTAGAGAGGATTGTTGCTGGGTTCTGACTGTTTGTCCTTTACATAGGATTCCAGAACAATGTTGACGGGTTCTGAGTGTTTGTCACTCACATAGGATTCCACAACACTGCTGCTGGGTTCTGAGTGTTTGTCCCTCACATAGGATTCCAGAACACTGTTTCAAGGGTCTGAATGTTCGTCCCTCACATAGGATTCCAGAACAGTGTTTCTAGGTTTGAGTGCTTGTCCCTCACATGGGATTCCAGAACACAGTTGCTGGGTTCTGAGTATTTGTCCCTCACACAGGATACCAGAACACTGCTGCTAGTTTCAGAGTGTTTGTCCTTCACATAGGATTCCAGAACACTGCTACAAGATTCTGAATGTTTGCCCCTCAAAAACGATCCCACAACACTGCTGCTGGATTCTCAGAGTTTGTCCCTCACATACGAATCCAGAACACAGCTGCTGGGTTCTGTTTTTCCCACACAAAGGATTACAGAGCACTGCTGCTGGTTACTGAGTGTTTGTCCCTCACATGGGATTCCAGAACACTCCTTCGAGTGTCTGAAGGTTTGTCCCTCACAAAGGATTCTAGAACACTGCTGCTGGATTCTGAGTATTTGTCCCTCACATGGGATTCCAGAACACTGCTGCTGGGTTCTGAATGTTTGGCCCTCTCATAGGATTCCAGAACACTGGTGAGAGGTTTTGAATGTTTTATCCTCACAAAGGATTTCAGAACACTGCTGCTGGGTTATGTTTGTCTCTCACAAAGTATTGCCGAGAACCGCTGCTAGTTTCTGAGTGTTTGTCCCTCACATAGGATTCCAGAACACTTCTCCTAGTGTATGAATGTTTGTCCGTCACAAAGGATTCGAGAAAACTGTTGCTGGTTTCTGAGTGTTGATCACTGACATAGGATTCCAGAACACGGCTGCTGGGTTCTGAGTTTCAGTCCGTCACATGAGATTCTAGAACACTGAAGCCGGGTTAAGAATGTTTGTCCCTCACATAGGATTCCAGAGCACTGATACGTGGTTCTCATTGTTTGTCCCTCACAGAAGATTCCAGAACACTCCTGCTGGTTTCTGAAAGTTTTTCCATCACATAGGATTCCAGAACGCTGCTGCTGGGTTCTGTTTTTTCCTCACAAATAATTCCAGGGCACCGTTGCTTGTTTCTGAGTGTTTCTTCCTCACATAGGATTCCAGAACACTTCTACAAGTGTCTGAATGTTTGTCCCTCTGATAGGATTCCAGAACACATTGGCTGGGTTCTGAGTGTTTGTCCTGCACAAAGGATTCCAGAACACTGCTGCTGGGTTCTGAGTGTTTGTCCCTTACATGGGATTCCAGAACACTGCCACTGGGTTCTGAGTGGTTGTCCATCATATAGAATTCCACAATACTGCTGCTGGGTTCTGAGTGTTTGTCCCTCACATAGGATTCCAGAACACCTCTACTAGTGTCTGAATGTTTGTCCCTCAAGTAGGATCCCAGAAAACAGTGGCTGGGTTCTGAGTGTTTGTCTCCCACATAGGATTCCAGAACACTGTTATGAAGTTCTGAAGGTTTGTCGCTCTCATAGGATTCCAGAACACTGCAGCTGTGTTCTGAGTGTTTTTCCCTCACACAGAATTCCAGAACACTGCTGCTGTGTTCTCAGTGTTTGTCCATCACCTATGATTCCAGAACACTGCTACTGCGTTCTGAGTGTTTGTCCATCACAAAGGATTCTGGAACACTGCTGCTGGTTTCTGTGTGTTTGTCCCTCAGAATGGATTCCAGAACACTGCTACAAGGGTCTGAATGTGTGTCCATCACAAAGGATTCCAGAACACTGCTGCTGGTTTCTGATTGTTTGCCCCTCACATAGGATTCCAGAAAACTGCTTCGAATGTCTGAATGTTTGTCCCTCACAGAGGATTCTAGAACACTGCTACTGGGTTCTGAGTGTTTGTCCCCCACATGTGATTCCAAAAAACTGCTGGTGGGTTAAAAGTGCTTGTGTCTCACATAGGATTCCAGAACACTGCTACGAGGTTGTGAATATTTGTCCCTCACTATGAATTCCAGCACACTGCTGCTGGGTTCTGAGTGTTTCTCCCTCACATTGGATTCCAGACCACTGCTACTAGGTTCTGAATGTTTTTCACTCAGAAAGATTCCAGAACACTGCTGGTGGGTTCTCTTTGTTTATCCTTCACAAAGGATTCCAGAGGACTGCTGCTGATTGCTGAGTGTTTCTCCATCACTTAGGATTCCAGAACATTTCTATGAGTGTCTGAATATTTATCAGACAGATAGGATTCCAGAACACGGTGGCTGGGTTCTGAGTGTTTGTCCCTCACATAGGATGCCAGAACACTGCTGCTGGGTTCAGAGTGTTTGTCCATCATGTAGGATTCCAGAACACTGCTGATGGGTTCTGAGTGTTTGTCCCTCACATAGAATTCAAGAGCATTGCTGTTGGGTTCTGAGTGTTTGTCCCTCAACGAGCATTCCAGAACAGTGCTGCTGGATTCTGAGTGTTTGTTCCTCACTAAGGATTCCAGAACACTGCTACTGGGTTCTCAGTGTTTGTCCCTCACATAGGATTCCAGAACTCTGCTACGAGTTTCTGAATGTTTGTCCAACACAAAGGATTCCAGGACACTTCTGTAGGATTCTGAGTGTTTGTCGTTCACATAGGATTCCACAACACTGCTTCTAGTGTCTGAATATTTGTCCCTCACAAAGGATTCCAGAACACTGCTGCTGGGTTCTCAGTGTTTGACACTCACATACGATTCCAGAACACGGCTGCTGGGTTCTGAGTGTTTGTCCTTCACATAGGAATTACAGAACACTGCTGGTCGGTTAAGAGTGTTTGTCTCTCACATAGCGTTCCGGAACACTGCTACGAGGTTGAGAAAGTTTGTCACTCACAAAGGATTCCAGAACACTGTTGCTGGGTTCTGAGTGTTTGCCCTCACATAGGATTGCAGACCACTGCTGCTGGGTTCTGTCTGTTTTTCCCTCACAAAGGATTACAGAGCACTGCTTCTGGGTTCTGAGTGTTTGTCCCTCACATAGGATTCCAGAACACTGCTTCGAGTGTCTGCGGGTTTGTCCCTCACAAAGGAGTCTAGAACACTACTGCTGGGTTCTGAGTGTTTTTCTCTCACATGTTATTCCAGAACATTGCTGATGGGTTCTGAGTGTTTGTCCCTCAGATAGGATTGCAGAACTCTCCTGTGAGAGTCTGAATGTTTTTCCCTCAGAAAGGTTTCCAGAACACTGCTGCTATGTTCTGTTTACGTGTCCCTCTCAAAGGATTCTAGAGCATCTCTGCTGGTTTCTGAGTGTTTGTCCTTCCCAGAGGATTCCAGAACACTTCTATGAGTGTCTGAATATTTTTGCCTCACATAGGATTCCAGAACACAGTGGCTGGGTTCTGAGTATTTGTCCCTCACATAGGATTCCAGAACACTGCTGCTGCGTTCTGGGTGTTTGTCCCTCACATAGGATTCCAGAACACTGCTGCTGTGTTCTGAGTGCTTTTCCTTCATATAGGATAGCAGAACACGTCTGCTGAGTTCTGAGTGTTTGTCCCTAACATAAGATGCCAGAACAGTGCTACGAGGGTCTGAATGTTTGTCTGTCAGAAATGATTCCAGAACACTGCTGCTTGTTTCCGAGTGATTGTCTCTCAAGTACGATTCCAGAACAGTGCTTTGAGGGTCTGAGTGTTTGTCACTCCCAAAGGATTCTAGAAACCTGCTGCTGGGTTCTGGGTGTTTATCACTCACATGTGATTCCAGAACACTGCTGCGACGTTCTGAGTGTTTGTCCCTCACATACAATTCCAGAACACTTCCAGGAGGTTATAAATGTTTGTCCTTCACGTAGGATTCCAAAACACTGCTGCTGTATTCTGTTTGTCCGTCACAAAGGATTCCAGAACACCTCTGTTGGTTTCTGATTGTGTGTCCCTCACATAGGATTCCAGAAAACCTCTACGAATGTCTAAATGTTTGTCCCTCAGATAGGATTCCAGAATACAGTGGCTGGGTTCTGAGTGTTTGTCCCACACATAGGATTCCAGAACACTGCTACAAAGTTCTGAATGTTTGTCACTCACATATGATTCCACAACACTGCTGCTGGGTTCTGAGTGTTTGTCCCTCACCTAGGATTCTAGAAGGCTTCTGCTGGGTTCTGAGTGTTTGTCCCTCACATAGAATTCCAGAACACTGCTGGTGGGTACTGAGTGTTTGTCCCTCACGTAGGATTCCAGAACACTGCTGATGGGTTCTGAGCGTTTGTCCCTCACTAAGGATTCCAGAACACTGCTACTGGGTTCTGAGTGTTTGTCCCTCACATAGGATTCCAGAACACTGCTATGAGGGCGTGAATGTTTGTCCATCACAAAGAATTCCAGGACACTACTGCTGGGTTCTGAGTGTTTGCCCTTCACATATAATTCCAGAAAATTACTTCGTGTCTGAATGTTTGTCCCACACAAAGGATTCTAGAACACTTCTGCTGGGTTCTGAGTGGTTGTCACTCACATAGGATGCCAGAATACGGCTGCTAGGTTCCTAGTGCTTGTCCCTCAGATGGTATTCCAAAACACTGCTGTGGTTTAAGAGTGTCTGTGCCTCACATAGGATTCCAGAACACTACTGCGAGGTTCTGAATGTTTGTCCCTCACAAAGGATTCCAGAAGGCTTCTGCTGGGTTCTGAGTGTTTCTCCCTCACTTAGGATTCCAGAACTCTGCTACGAGGGTCTGAATGTTTTTCCCTCAAAAAAGATTCTAGAACACTGCTGCTGGTTTCTGAGTGGTTGTCTCTCACTTAGGATTCCCAAACACGGCTGCTGGGTTCTCAGTGTTTGTCCCTCACATGAGATTCGTGAACACCGCTGCTATGTTAAGAGTGTTTGTCCCTCACATAGGTTTCCAGAACACTGCTACGAGGTTCTGAATGTTTGTCCCACACAAACAATTCCAGAACACTGCTGCTGGATTTTTAGAGTTTGTCCCTCACATAGGATTCCAGAAAACTGCTTGTGGTTTCTGAGTGTTTGTCCCCCGCAAGGGATTCCAAAACACTGCTGCTGGGTTCAGAATGTGTGTCCCTCACATAGGATTCCATAACACTACTACGAGGGTCTGAATATTTTTCCCTCACAAAGATTCCAGAGAACTGCTGCTTCCTTCTGTTTTGTTTATTTATTTATTTTTTGTCCCTCTCAAAGGATTCCAGAGCACTGCTGCTGGTTTCTTAGTGTTTGTCCCTCACATAGGATTCCAGAACACTTCTACGAGGGTCTGAATATTTGCCCCTCAGGTAGTTTTCCAAAACACAGTGGTTGGGATCTGAGTGTTTGTCCCTCACATAGGATTCCAGTACAATGCTTCGAAGTTGTGAATGTGTGTCACTCACATAGGATTCCAGAACACTGCTGCTGTGTCCTGAGTGTTTGTCCCTCACACAGGATTCGGGAACACTGCTATGAGGGTTTGAATGTTTTCCCTCAAAAAGAATTACAGAGCACTGCTGCTTGGTTCTGTTTTTTTGTCCCTCACAAAGTATACCAGAACAACACTGCTGGTTTCTGAGTGTTTGTCACTCACGTAGGATTCCAGAACACTTCTACACGTGTTTGAATATTTATCCCGCAGATAGGATTGCAGAACACAGTGGCGGGGTTCTGACTGTTTGTCCCTCACATAGGATTCCAGAACAATGCTGGTGGGTTCTGTGTGTTTGTCCCTCACTTAGGTTTCCAGAACACTGTTGCTGGGTTTTGAGTGTTTGTCCCTCAAATAGAATTCTAGAACATTGCTGTTATGTTCTGAGTGTTTGTCCCTCACTGAGGATTCCAGAAAACTGCTGCTGGGTTCTGAGTGTTAGTCCCACACGTAGGATGCCAGAACACTGCGACTGAGTTCTTAGTGTTTGTCCCTTACATAGGATTCCAGAACAGTGCTTCGAGTGTCTGAAAGTTTGTCCCTCACAAAGGATTCTTGTACACTGTTGCTGGGTTCTGAGTGTTTGTCCCTCACATGGGATTCCAGAACAATGCTCTTAGGTTCTGAGTGCTTGTTCCTCACATAGGATACCAGAACACTCCTACGAGGGTCAGAATGTTTTTCCCTCACAAAGGATTCCAGGACACTGCTGCTGGGTTCTGTTGGTTTGTCCCTCAGAAAAGATTCCAGAGCACTTCTGCTGGTTTCTCAATGTTTCTCACATAGGATTCCAGAACACTTCTAAGAGTGTCTGAATGTGTGTCCCTCAGGTAGTATTCCAGAACACAGTGGTTGGGTTCTGATTGTTTCTCCCTCACATAGGAATCCAGAACACTGCTGCTGGGTTTTGAGTGTTTGACCCTCACGTAGGATTCCAGAACACTGATTCAAGGGTCTGAATGTTTGTCCCTCAGGAAGGATTCTAGAAAACTGCTGCTGGGTTGTGAATGTTGGTCACTCACATAGGATTCCAGAACATGGCTGCTGAGTTCCAAAAGTTTGTCCATCACATGGGATTCTATAACACTGCTGCTGGGCTAAGAGTGTTTGTACCTCACACAGGATTTCAGAACACTACTACTAGGTTCTGAATGTTTGTCCCTTACAAAGCATTCCAGAACACTGTTACTGTTTTCTGAGTGTTTGTCCTCTCAGAGGACTCCAGAACACTGCTGCTGAGTTCTGTTTGTTTGTCTCTCAAGAAGGATTACAGAGAACTACTGCTGGGCTCTCAGTGTTTATCCCTCACTTAGGTTTCCAGAACACTGCTTCAAGTGTCTGAAGTTTTGTCCCTAACAAAGGATTCTAGAGCACTGCTGCTGGGTTCTAATTGTTTGTCCCTCAAGTGGGATTCCAGAACATCGCTGCTAGGTTCTTAGTGTTTGTCCCTCACATGGGTTTCCAGAACACTGCCACGAGAATCTGAATGTTTTTCCCTCACAAAAGATTCCAGAACACTGCTGCTTGGTTCTGTTTGTTTGTCCCTCACAAAGGATTCCAGAGCACCGCTGCTGGTTTTTGAGTGTTTGTCCCTCACATAGAATTCCAGAGCACTTCTAAGAGTGCCTGAATGTGTGTCCCTCAGATAGGATTCCAGAACACAGTGGCTGGGTTCTGACTGTTTCTCCCTCACATAGGAATCCAGAACACTGCTGCTGGGATCTGAGTGTTTGTCCCTCACATAGGGTTCCAGAACACTGCTTCAAAGGTCTGAATTTTTGTCCCTCACAAAGGATTCTAGAACACTGCTGCTGGTTTCTGAGTGTTTGTCACTCACATAGGATTCCAGAACACCGCTGCCAGGTTTTGAGAGTTTGTTCTTCACATAGGATTCCAGAACACTGCAGCTGGGTTAAGAGTGTTTGTCTCTCACATAGGATTCCAGAACACTGTTACGAGGTTGTGAATGTTTGTCCCTCACAAAGGATTCCAGAACACTGCTGCTGGTTTCTAAGTCTTAGTCACTCACGTAGGATTCCAGAACACTGCTGTTGGGTTCTGTTTGTTTGTCCCTCAAGAAGGATTACAGAGAACTGCTGCTGGGTTCTGAGTGTATCTCCCTCACATAGGTTTCCAGAACACTGCTTCGAGTGTCTGAAAATTTCTCCTTCACAAAGGATTCTAGAACACTGCTGCTGGGATCTGAGTGTTTGCCCTTATATTGGATTCCAGAACACTGCTTCAAAGATATGAATGTTTGTCCCTCACAAAGGATTCCAGAACGCCGCTGCTGGGTTCTGAGTGTTTGTCACTCACATAGGATTCCAGGACACCGCTGTGGGGTTTTGAGAGCTTGTTCCTCACATGGGATTCCAGAACACTGCTGCTGGGTTAAGAGTGTTTGTCCCTCACATAGGATTCCAGAACACTGCTATGAGATTCTGAATGTTTGTCCCTCACAAAGCTTTCCAGAACACTGCTGCTGGTTTCTAAGTGTTAGTTCGTCACGTAGGATTCCAGAACACTGCTTCTGGGTTCTGAGTGTTTGTCCCTCACATGGGATTCCAGAACACTGCTGCTGGGTTAAGAGTGTTTGTCCCTCACATAGGATTCCAGAACACTGCTAGGAGATTCTGAATGTTTGTCCCTCACAAAGCTTTCCAGAACACTGCTGCTGGTTTTTAAGTGTTAGTCCGTCACGTAGGATTCCAGAACACTGCTTCTGCGTTCTGTTTGTTTGTCCCTCAAGAAACATTACAGAGAACTGCTGCTGGGTTCTGAGTGTTTCTCCCTCACATATGTTTCCAGAACACTGCTTCCAGTGTCTGAAGGTTTCTCCCTCACAAAGGATTCTAGAACACTGCTGCTGGATTCTGAGTGTTTGTCCCTCAGGTGGGATTCCAGAACATTGCTGCTGTGTTCTGAGTGTTTGTCCCAAACATGGGATTCCAGAACACTGCTACGAGAGTCTGAATGTTTTTCTCTCACAAAAGTTTCCAGAACACAGCAGCTTGGTTCCCTTTGCTTGTCCCTCACAAAGAATTCCAGAGCACTGCTGCTGGTTTCTGAGTGTTTGTCCCTCACATAGCATTACAGAACACTTCTAAGAGTGTCTGAATGTTTATCCGTCAGATAAGATTCCAGAACACAGTGACACTTTTCTGAGTGTTTCTCCCTCAGATAGGAATCCAGAACAGTGCTGCTGGGACCTGAGTATTTGTCCCTCACATAGGATTCAAGAACACTGCTTCCGAAGTCTGAATGTTTGTCTCTCAAAAGGGATTCTGGAACACTGCTGCTGGGTTCTGAGTGTTTGTCACTCACATAGGATTCCAGAACACCGATGAGGGGTTTTGAGAGTTTGTCTGTCACAGGGGATTGCAGAACACTGCTGCTGGGTTAAGAGTGTTTGTCCCTCACATAAGACTCCAGAACACTGCTACGAGGTTCTGAATGTTTGTCCCTCACAAAGCATTCCAGAACACTGCTGCTGGTTTCTGAGTGTTAGTCCCTCACATAGGATTGCAGAACACTGCTGCTGGGTACAGTTTGTTTGTCCCTCACGAAGGATTACAGAGAACTGCTGCTGGATTCTGAGTCTTTGTCCCTCACATAGGTTTCCAGAACCCTGCTTCGAGTGTCTGAAGGTTTGTCCCTGACAAAGGATTCTAGAACACTGCTTATGGGTCTGAGTGTTTGTCCCTCAGGTGGGATTCCAGAACATTGCTGCTGTGTTCTGAGTGTTTGTCCCAAACATAGGATTCCAGAACACTGCTACGAGAGTCTGAATGTTTTTCCCTCACAAAAGATTCCAGAACACTCTAGCTGTGTTCTGTTTGTTTGTCCCTCACAAAGGATTCCAGAGCTCCGCTGCTAGTTTCTGAGTGTTTGTCCTTCACATAGTATTCTAGAACACTTCTACGATCATCTGAATGTTTGTCCCTCAGAAAGGATTCCAGAACCCAGTGGCTGGGTTTTGAGCGTTTGTTCTTCACATAGGATTCCAGAACACTTCTTCTGGGTTCCGAGTGTTTGTCCCTCACATAGGATTCCAGAACACTTCTGTTGGGATCTGAATGTTTTTCCTTCACATAGGATACCAGAACACTGCTGGTGGGTTCTGAGTGATTGTCCCTCACTTAGGATTCCAAAACAGTGCTACGAGGGTCTGAATGGTTGTCCGTCACAAAGGATTCTAGAACACTGGTGCTGGGTTCCGAGTGTTTGTCTCTCACGTAGGATTCCAAAACACTGCTTTGAGCATCTGAATGTTTTTCCCTCACAAAGGTTTCTAGAACACTGCTGCTGGGTTCTGAGTGTTTGTCACTCACATAAGTTTCCAGAACACTGCTGCTGGGTTCTGAGTGTTTGTCACACACTAACGATTCCAGAACACTGCTAGGATGTTCTAAATGATTGCCCCTCACTTAGTATTCCAGAACACAGTGTAAGGATTCTGAGTGTTTGTCCCCCACATAGTATTCCAGAACTCTGTTACGAAGTTCTGAATGTTTGTCGCTCACATAGGATTCCAGAACACTGCTGCTGGGTTCTGAATGTTTGTCCCTCACGTAGAATTCCAGAACACTGCAGCTGGGCTCTGAGTGATTGTCCCTCACATAGGATTCCAAAACACACCTACGTGGGTCTGAAAGTTTTACCCTCACAAAGAATTAAAGAACACTTCTGCTGGGTTCTGTTTGTTTGTCCCTCAGAAAGGATTCCAGAGCACCGCTGCTAGTTTCTGAGTGTTTGGGCCTCACAAAGGATTCCAGAAGCCTTCTATGAGTGTCTGAATATTTATCCCTAAGATAGGATTCCAGAACACAGTGGCTGGGTTCTGAGTATTTGTCCCTTATATGGGATTCCAGAAGACTGCTACTGAGTTATGAGTGTTTGTCCCTCACATAGGATTCCAGAACACTGCAGCTGGGTTCTGAGTGTTTGTCCGTCACATAGATTTCCAGAACAATGCTGTTGGGTTCTGAGTGTTTGTCCCTCATTGAGGATTTCAGAACAGTCCTGCTGGGTTCTGAGTGTTTGTCCCTCACATAGGATTGCAGAACACAGCTGCTGGGTTCTGAGTGTTTGTCCCTCACATAGGATTCCAGAATACTGCTTCAGGGGTCTGAATTTTCATCCCTCACAAAGGTGTCTAGAACACTGCTGCTGGGTTCTGAGTGTTTGTCACTCACACAGGATTCCAGAACATAGCTCCTGTGTTCTGAGTGTTTGTACCTCACATGGGATTCCAGAGCACTGTTGCAGGGTTCTGCGTGTTTGTCCCTCACTGAGGATTCCAGAATACTGCTACTGCTTCTGAGTGTTTGTCCCTCACATAAGATTCCAGAGCACTGCTACGAGGGCCTGAATGTTTGTCCATCACATAGGATTCCAGAACAATTCTACGAGTGTATGAATGTTTGTCCCTTAGATAGGAATACAGAACACAGTGGCTGGTTTCTGAGTGTTTGTCCCTCTCAAAGGATTCCAGAACTCTGCTGCTGGGTTCTGAGAGTTTGTGCCTCACATAGGATTCCACAACACTGCTGCTGGATTCGGAGTGTTTGTCCCTTACATAGAATTCCAGAACACTGCTGGTGGGTACTGAGTGTTTGTCCCTCACATAGGATTCCAGAACACTGCTGCTGGGTTCTGAGTGTTTGTCCCACACAAAGGATTCCAGGATACTGCTACTGTGTTATGAGTGCTTGTCCCTCAAATAGGGTTGCAGAGCACTGTTACGAAGGTCTGAATGTTTGTCCATCAGCAAAAATTACAGAACACTGCTGCTGGGTTCTGAGTGTTTGTCCCTCACATAGGATTCCAGAACACTGCTTCGAGTGTCTGAATGTTTGTTCCTCACAAAGGATTCTAGACAACTCCTGCTGGTTTCTGAGTGTTTGCCACTCACATAGGATTCCGAAGCACTCCTGCTGGATACTGTTTGTTTTTCCTTCACAACGGAATCCAGAAAAATATTGCTGCTTTCGGAGTGTTTGTCCCTCAGATTGGATTCCAGAACACTTCTTTGTGTGTCTGAATGTTTCTCCCTCAGATAGGACTCCAGAACACAGAGGCTGGGTTCTGATTATTTGTCCCCCACGTAGGATTCCATAACACTGCTAAGAAATTCTGAACGTTTATTGCTCTCATAGGATACCAGAACAATTCTGCTGGGTTCTGAGTGTTTGTCCCTCACATATGATTCCAGAACACTTCTATGAGTGTCTGAATATTTGTCCTTCAAATAGGATTCCAGAAGACAGTGCCTAGGTTTTGAGTGTCTGTCCCTCACATAGGATTCTAGAACACTGCTGCTGGGTTCTGAGTGTTTATTCCTCACATAGGATTCCAGAACACTGCGGCTGGGTTCTGAGTGTTTGTCCCTCACATAGAATTCCAGAACACTGCTGTTGAGTTTTGAGTGTTTGTCCCTCATTGAGGATTCCAGAACACTGCTGCTGGGTTCTGAGTGTTTGTCCCTCATGTAGTATTCCTGAACACTGATACTGAGGTCTGAGTGTTTGTCCCTTACATAGGATTGCAGAACACTCCTACTATGGTCTAAATGTTTGTCCATCACAAAGGTTTCCAGAACACTGCGGCTGGGTTCTGAGTGTTTGTCCCTCAGATAGGATTCCAGAACACTGCTTCACGGGTCTGAATGTTTGTCCCTCACAAAGGATTCTAGAACACTTCTACTGGGTTCTGAGTGTTTGTCACTCATGTAGGATTCCAGAATATGGCTGCTGGGTTCTGAGTGTTTGACCCTTACATGGGATTCCAGAGCACTGCTGCTGGGTTCAGACTGTTTGTCCCTCACACAGGTTTCCAGAACACTGCTATGAGGTTCTGAATCTTTCTCTTTCACAAACGATTCAACAACACTGCTGCTGGATTCTGAGTGTTTGTCCCTCACATAGGATTCCAGAACACTGCTGCTGGGGTATGTTTGTTTGCCCCTCCGAAAGGATTACAGAGCACTGCTACAAAGTTCTGAATGTTTTTCCCTCACAAAGGATTCCAGAACACTCCTGTTGAGTTCTGAGTGCTTGTCCCTCACACAGGATTACAGAACACTGCTTCGAGGGTCTGAAGGTTTGTCCCTCACAATGCATTCTAGAACACTGTTGATGGGTTCTGAGTGTTTGTCCCTCACACTGGATTTCAGAACACTGTTGGTCGGTTCTGAGAGTTTTTCCCTCACATAGAATTCCAGAACACTGCTGGGAGCCTCTGAATGTTTTCCCTCACAAAGGATTCGAGAAAACCCCTGCTAAGTTCTGTGTGTTTGTCCCTCACAAAGGATTCCAGAGCACCGCTGCTGCTTTCTGGGTGTTTTTCCCTCACGTATGATTCTAAAGCACTTCCTCGAGTGTCTTAAAGTTTTTCCCTCACATAGGATTTCATAACACAGTGTCTGTGTTCTGAGTGGGGTACCTCACAGGTGATTCCAGACCACTGCTGCTGGGTTCTGAGAATTTGTCCCTGACATAGGATTCCAGAACACTGCCAGTTTGTTCTGAGTGTTTTTCCCTTACTTAGGATTCCACAACACTGCTATGAGGGTCTGAATGTTTGTCTAACACTAAGGATTCCAGAACACTGCTGCTGGGTTCTGAGTTTTTGTCCCTCACATAGGATTCCAGAACATTTTTTTGAATGTCTGAAAGTTTTTCCCTCAAAATGGATTCTAGAACACTGTTGCTGTCTTCTGAGTGTTTGTCACTCACTTAGTATTCCAGAACACGGCTGCTGAGTTCTGAGTGTTTTTCCCTCACAAGGGATTCCAGAACACTGCTGCTGGCTTAAGAGTGTTTTTCCCTCACATAGGATGCCAGAGCACTGCTATGAGGTTCTAAATATTTGTCCCTCACAAAGGATTCCAGAACACCTCTGAAAATTTCTGAGTGTCTGCCCCTCACATAGGATTCCAGAACACTGCTGCTGCTTTCTTTGTGTTTGTTCCTCATATAAGATTCCAGCCCACTGCTGCTGTGTTCTGAGGGTTTGTCCCTCACATAAGATCCCAGAATACTGCTACGAGGATCTGAATGTTTGTCCTTCACTTAGGATTCCTGAACACTGCAAACAGTGTCTGAATGTTTGTCCCTCACGAAGGTTTCCACAACACTGCTGCTGGGATCTGAGTGTTTGACCCTCACATAGGATTCCAGAACACTGCTATGAGGGTCTGAGTGTTTGTCTCTCCCATAGGATTCCAGAACACTGCTATGAGGGTCTGAGTGTTTGTCTCTCCCATAGGATTCCAGAGCACTGCTTTGAGAGTCTGAATGTCTGTCCCTCACTTAGGATTCCAGAACACCTCTGAAAGTTTCTGAGTGTCTGTCCCTCACATAGGATTCCAGAACACTGCTGCTGCGTTCTTTGTGTTGGTTCCTCATATAGGATTCCAGCCCACTGCTGCTGTGTTCTGAGGGTTTGTCCCTCACATAAGATCCCAGAATACTGCTACGAGGATCTGAACGTTTGTCCTTCACTTAGAATTCCTGAACACTGCAAACAGTGTCTGAATGTTTGTCTCTCACGAAGGTTTCCACAACACTGCTGCTGGGATCTGTGTGTTTGACCCTCACATAGGATTCCAGAACACTGCTATGAGGGTCTGAATGTTTTTCCCTCAGATAGGATTCTAGGACACTGCTATGAGGGTCTGAATATTTGTGCCTCACAATAGATTGCAGAACACTGCTGCTGGGTTCTGAGTGTTTGTCCCTCAAATATGATTCTAGTACACTGCTTCGAGGGTCTGAATGTTTGTCCCTTACATAGCATTCCAGAACACTGTTTCTGGGTTCTGATTGTTTGTCCGTCACATAGTATTCCAGAACACTGCTGCTGGGTTCTGAGTGTTTGTCCCTCACATAGGATTCCGGGACACTGCTACGAAGGTTTGAAAGTTTGTCCCTCACATAAGACTCCAGAACATTGCTACGAGGGTCTGAATGTTTCTCCTTTATGTACGATTCAGGAACACTGCTAAACTGGTGTGAATGATTGTCCCTCACGAAGAATTCCAGATCAGTGCTGCTGGTTTCTGAGTGTCTATCCCTCACATAGAATTCCAGAACACTGCTACAATGGTCTGAATGTCTGTCCCTCACAAAAAATTATGGAACACTGCTGCTGGGTTCAGAGTGTTTGCCCCTCACTTTGGATTCCAGAACATGGCTTCTGGGTTCTAAGTGTCTGTCCCACACTTAGGATTCCAGAACACTGCTGGTGGGTTCTGTGTGTTTGTCCTTCACACAGGATTCCAGAAAACTGCTAGGTGGTTCTGAATGTCTGTCCCTCAGAAAGGTTTGCAGAACACTGTTGCTAGGTACTGAGTGTTTGACCCTCACATAGGATTCCAGAACACAGCTATGAGGTTGTAAAACTGTGTCCCTCACATAGGATTCTGGAACACTGCTGGGTTCTGAGTGCTTGTCCCTCACATAGGATTGCAGAACACTGCTGCGAGGGTCTGAATGTCTGTCCCTCACGTAGGATTCCAGAACACAGCAACGAGGGTCTAAATGTTTGTCCCTCACATAGGACTACAGAACACTGCTAAGAAATTCTGAATGTTTGTCCTTCACAAAGCTTTCCACAACACTGCTGCTGGGTTCTGAGAGTTTAACCATCTCATAGGATTCCAGAACACTGCTACGAGGTCATGAATATTTGCCCCTCGCGTAGGATTCCAGAACACTGCTGCAGGATTCAGAGTGTTTGTCCCTCACAAAGAATTCCAGAATACCGCTGCTGGATTCTGACAGTTTGTCCCTCACATAGGATTCGAGAACACGGATACGAGGGTCTGAATATCTGCCCTGACATAGGATTCCAGAACACTGCTGCTGCGTTCTCAGTTTTTGTACCTAACGTAGGATTCCAGAACACTGCTGCTGGGTTCTGAGTGTTTGTCCCTCACATAGGATTACAGAACACTGCTACGAGGTTCTGAATGTTTATCCCTCACAAAAATTCTGGAACATTGCAGCTGGACTCGGAGGGTTTGTCCTTCACAAAGGATTCCAGAGCACTGCTGTGTGTTTCTGAATGTTTGTCCTTCACATAAGGTTCCAGAACACTGTTACGAGGGTCTGAATGTCCCTCAGAGAGGATTCCAGATCATTGCTGCTGAGTTCTGAATGTTTTTCCCTCATATAGGATTACAGAACACCGCTGCTGGGTTCTGAGTGTTTGTCCCTCAGTTAGGATTCCAGAACACTGCAACAAGGGTCTGAATGTTTGTCCCTCACAAAGGATTCCAGAACAGTGCTGCAGGGTTCTTAGTGTTTGTCTCTCACATACGATTCCAGAACACTGCTACGAGGGGCTGAATGTCTCTCCCTCACATAGGATTCCAGAACACTGCTGCTGGGTTCTAAGTGTTTGTCCCTCACATAGGTTTCCAGAACACAACTACGAAGCTCTGAATGTTTGTCCCTCACATGGGATACCAGAACACTGCTGTTGGGTTTTGAGTGTTTGTCCCTCACATTAGATTCCAGAACACTTCTGCTGGTTTCTGTGTTTGTCCATCACACAGGATTCTGGAACACTGCTACAAGGATCTGAAAGTTTGTCCGTCACAAAGGAATCCAGAACACTGCTGCTGGTTTCTGAGTGTTTGCCCCTCACATAGGATTCCGGAACACTGCTAAAAGGATCTGAAAGTTTGTCCGTCACAAAGGATTCCAGAACACTGCTGCTGGCTTCTGAGTGTTTGCCCCTCACATAGGATTCCATAACATTGCTGTAGGGTTCTGAGTGTTTGTCCGTCACATAGGATTCCAGAACAGTACTATGAGGGTCTTTATATTTGTACCTCACAAACGTTTCCAGAGCACTGCTGCTGGTTTCTGAATGTTTTACCCTCACATACGATTCCAGAACACGACAAAGAGGGTCTGAATGTTTGTCCTTTACAAAGGTTTCCAGAACTCTCTTGCTGTGTTCTTAGTCTTTGAACCTCACAAAGAATTCCAGGACAGTGCTACGAGTGTCTGATTGTTTGTCCCTTACATCGGATTCCAGAACACTGCTGCTGGGTTCTGAGTGTTTGTCACTCACATAGGATTGCAGAACACTAGTGCTGTGTTCTCTGTGTTTGTCCCTCACATGGGATTCCAAAACACAGCCACGAGGGTCTGAATATCAGTCCGTCACATGGATTTCCTGAACACTACTGCTTTGGTCTGAGTGTTAGTAACTCAAGTAGGATTCTAGAACACTGCTGCTGGGTTCTGAGTGTTTGTCCCTCACATAGGAATCCAGAACACAGCTACGAGATTCTGAATGTCTGGCCCTCACAAAGGATTCCAGAATACTACTGCTGGGTTCTGAGTGTTTGTCCCTCACATAGGATTCCAGAACACTGCTGCTGGGTTTGAGTATTTCTCCCTCACAAAGGATTCCAGAACACTGCTGCTGGGTTCTGAGTATTCGTCCCTCACATACGATTCCAGAACACTGCTACGAGGTTCTGAATGTCTGCCCCTCACATAGAATTCCAGAACAATACTATGAGGTTCTTAATATTTGTCCCTCACACTGGTTTCCAGAACACTACTGCTAGGCTCTGAGGGTTTTACCCTCACACAGGATTCCAGAACACTGCTACGAGGATCTGAATGTTTGTCCTTCACTTAAGATTCCAGAACACTGCTGCTGGGTTCTGAGTGTTTGTCCCTCACATAGGATTACAGAACACTGCTACGAGGTTTGAAGATTCCTCGCTCACTTAGGATTCCAGAACATTGCTACAAGTGTCTGATTCTTTGTCCCTCAGAAGGTTTCCAGAACACTGTTGCTGGGTCTGAGTGTTTGACCCACACACAGGATTCCAGTACATTGATATGAGGGTCTGAATATTTGTCCCTCACATAGAGTTCCAGAACACTGCTGCTGCTTTCTGAGTTTTTGTCCCTCACTTAGGATTCCTGAACACTGCTGCTGGTTTCTGAGTGTTTGTCCATCACATAGAATTCCAGAACACTGTTGCTGGGCTCTGAGTGTTTGTCCTTCACATAGCATTCCAGAACACTGCTACGAGGATCTGAATGTTTGTCTCTCACTTAGAATTCCAGGACACTACTACAAGGGTCTTAATATTTTTCCCTCACAAAGGTTTCTGGAACCTTGCTGCTGGGTTCTGAGTGTTTGTCTCTCACATAGGATTCCAGAACATGGCTACTGTTTTCTGAGTGTTTGTGCCTTATATAGGATTCTTGAACACTTCTTCTGGGTTCTGAGTGTTTGGCCCTCACATAGGATTCCACAACACTGCTGCTGGGTTCTGTGTGGTCGTCCCTCACATAGGAGTCCAGAATATTGCTACGATGCTCTGAATGTTTGTCCCTCACACAGGATTCCAGAGCACTGCTGTTGTTTTCTGAGTATTTATCCCTCACTTAGGATTCCAGAACACTGTTACGAGGGTCTGAATATCTGTCTGTCACATGGGATTCCTGAGCACTGCTGCTGGGTTCTGAGTGTTTGACTCTCCTATAGGATTCCGGAACACGGCAGTTCGGTTCTGAGTCTTTGTCCTTTACATAGGATTCCAGAAAACTGTTGCTGTGTACTTAGTGTTTGTCCTTCACATAGGGTTACAGAACACTGCTACGAGGATATGAATATTTGTCACTTGCATAGGATTCTAGAACACTGCTATGAGGGACTGAATATTTGTCCCTCACAAAGGTTTCCAGAACACTGCTTCTGGTTTCTGAGTGTTTGACCCTCACATAGGATTCCAGAACATTGCTACGAGGGTCTGAATATTTGTCCCTCAAAAAGGATTCCAGAATACTACTGCTGCGTTCTGAGTGTTTGTTCCCCACATACGATTCCAGAACACTGCAGTGAGGGTATGAAGGTTTGTCCCTCACATAGGATTCCAGCACACTGCTGCTGGGTTCTGAATGTTTGTCCCTCACATAGGATTCCAGAACCCTGCTACGACGGTCTGAATGTTTGTCCTTCACAGATTCCAGAAATCTGCTGCTGGGTTTTGGGTGTTTGTCCCTCACATAGGTTTCCACAACATAGCTGCTGGGTTCTGCATGTTTGTCCCTTACATAGGATTCCAGAACACCACTGCTGGCTTCTGTGTGTTTGTCCCTCACATAGGATTCCAGAGCACTGCTATGAGGGTCTAAAAGTATTTCCCTCACATAGGATTCCAGAACACTGCTATGAGGGTCAGAATATTTGTCCCTCACAAAGGATTCCAGAACAATACTGGTGGATTCTTAGGGTTTGACCCTGACATAGGATTCCAGAACACTGCTACGAGTGTCTGAATGTTTATCCCTCACATAGTATTCCAGAACACTGCTACTGGGTTCTGAGTGTTTGTCCCTCACATAGGATTCCAGAACACTGCTGCTGGGTTCTGTGTGTTTGTGCCTCACATAGGATTCCAGAACACTGTTATGAGGCTCTGAATGTTTTTTCCTCACAAAGGATTCCAGGACACTGCTAGGAAGTTCTGAATGTTTGTCGCCCAGATAGGATTCCAGAACACTGCTGCTGGGTTCTGTGTCTTTGTACTTCACATACGATTCCATATCACTGCTGCCGGGTACTGAGTGTTTGTCCCTGACTTAGGATTCCAGTACACTCCTACGAGTGTCTGAATGTTTGTCCCTCACATAGGATTTCAGGACACTACCATAAGGGTCTTAATATTTGACCCTCAAAATGTTTCCAAAACGCTGCCGTTGGGTTCTGAGAGTGTTACCCTCACATAGGATTCCAGGACACTACCATAAGGGTCTTAATATTTGACCCTCAAAATGTTTCCAAAACGCTGCCGTTGGGTTCTGAGAGTGTTACCCTCACATAGGATTCCAGAACACTGCTATGAGGGTCTGAATGTTTGTTCCTCACATAGGTTTCCAGAACACTGCTACAAGGGTCTCAATGTTTGTCCCTCACAAAGGATTGCAGAGCACTGCTGCTGGGTTCTGAGTGCTTGTCCCTCACATAGGATTCCAGAACATTGTGTGTTGGTCTGAATGTCTGTCCCTCACATGGGATTCCAGAACACACCTGCTGGGTTCCGAGTGTTTCTCCCTCACATAGGATTAGAGAATCCTGCTAAGAGGGTCTGAAAGTTAGTCCCTCACAAAGGTATCCAGAACACTGCTGTTGGGAGCTGAGTGTATTTCCCTCACATAGGATTCCAGAACACTGTTGCTGGGTTCTCAATGTTTGTCCCTCACATAGGATTCCAGAACACTGCTGTTGGGTTCTGAGTGTTTGTCCCTCACATAAGGATTCCATAACACTGTTACCAGGATCTGAATGTCTGTCCATCACATGGGATTCCTGAACACGTCTGCTGGGTTCAGAGTGTTTCACCCTCACATAGGAATCCAGAACACAGATACGAGATTCTGAATGTTTGTCCCGCAAAAAGGATTCCAGAACACGGCTGCTGGGTTCTGAGGGTTTGTCCCTCACATAGGATTCCAGAACAGTGCTACAAGGATCTGTATGTTTTTCTGTCAGAAAGGCTTCCAGAACACTGCTACTGGGTTCTGTTTGTTTGTAACTCACAAAGGATTCCAGAGAACTGCTCCTGGTTTCTGAGAGTTTGTCCCTCACATAGGATTCCAGAACACTTCTATGAGTGTCTGAATGTTTGTCCCTCAGAAAGGATTCCAGAACACAGTGGCTGGTTTCTGAGTGTTTGTCGCTCTCATAGGATTGCAGAACACTACTGCGTTTTTCTGAGTGTTTGTTCCTCACATAGGATTCCACAAGACTGCTGCTGGGTTCTGTGTATTTGTCCCTCACATAGGATTCCAGAACACTGCTGCTGTGTTCTGAGTATATGTCCCTCACGTAAGATACCAGAACACTGCTACGACGGTCTGAATGTTTGTCTGTCACAAATGATTCCAGAACACCGCTACTGGGTTCTTAGTGTTTGTCCCTCAAAAAGGACTCTAGAACACTGCTGCTGGGTTCTGAGTGTTTGCCCCTTACATAGGATTCCAGAACACTGCTGCTGGGTTCTGAGTGTTTTTCCCTCACATAAGATTCCAGAACACTGCTGCTGGGTTCTGAGTGTTTGTCCCTCACATTGGATTCCAGAACACTGCTGCTGGGTTCTGAGTGTTGGTCCGTCACATAGGATTCCAGAAAACTGGCACGAGGGTCTGAATGTTTGTCCATCACAAAGGATTCCAGAGCACTGTTGCTGGGTATCTGAGTGTTGGTCCCTCACATAGGATTCCAGAACTGTGCTTCGAGGGTCTCAATGTTTGTGCCTCACAAAGGATTCTAGAACACTGCTGCTGGTTTCTGTTTGTCAGTCACATGGGATTCAGAACACTTCTGCTGGGTTCTGAGAGTTTGTGCCTCACTTACGATTCCAGAACACTGCTACGAGGTTCTGAATGTTTTTCCCTCACCAAGGATTCCAGAACGCTGCTGCTGGGTTCTGAGAGTTTTTCTCTCACATAGGATTCAAAAACACTGCTGGTGGTTTCTGAGTGTTTGTCCCTCACATAGGATTCCAGAACACTGATGCTGGGTTCTGATTGTTTGTCCCTCACATGGGACTCCAGAACACTGCTACGAAGTTCTGCATCTTTGTCGCTCACACAGGATTCTAGAACACTGCTGCTGAGTTCTGAGTGTTTGTCTCTCACATAGGATTCCAGAACACTGCTGCTGGGTTCAGAGTGTTTATTCCACACACAGGATTCCAGAACACTGCTACGAGGGTCAGAATGTTTTTCCGTCACAAAAGATTCCAGATTACTGCTGCTGGATTCTGTTTGTTTGTCCCTCACAAAGGATTCCAGAACGCCACTGCTGGTTTCTAAGTGTTTGTCCCACACATAGGATTTCAGAACACTTCTACGAAGTTCTGAATGTTTGTTCCTCACAAAGGATTCCAGAATACTGCTGATGGTTTCTCAATGTTTGTCCCTAACATAGGACTCCAGAACACTGCTGCTTCATTCTTCTTGTTTGTCCCTCACAAAGGATTCCAGAGCACTGCTGCTAGTTTCTGAGTGTCTGTCCCTCACATAGGATTCCAGAACACTTCTATGGGTTTCTGAATGTTTGACCCTCAGATAGGATTTCAGAACACAGTGGCTGGGTTCTGAGTGTTTGTCCCTCACGTAGTATTCTGGAACACTTCTACGAAGTTCTGAATGTTTGTCACTTAAAAAGGATTCTAGAACACTGCTGCTGGGTTCTGAGTGTTTGTCCCTCACATGGGATTCCCAAACACTGCTGCTGGGTTCAGAGGGTTTGTCCCTCACATAGCATTACAGAACACTGCTACGTTCGTCTGAATGGTTTTCCCTCACAAAGGATTCCAGAGCACCACTGCTGCTTTCTGGGTGTTTGTCCCTCACATAGGATTCCAGAACACTTCTATGGGTGTCTGAATATTTGTCACTCAGATAGGATTCCAGAACACAGTGGCTGGGTTCTGAGTGTTTTTCCGTCACATACAAATCCAGAACACAGCTGCCGGGTTCTGCGTGTTTGTCCCTCACATGGGATTCCCGAACACTGCTGCCGCATTCTGAGTGTTTGCTCCTCTCATAGTATTCCAGAACACTGCTGCTTAGTTTTGAGTGTTTGTCTCTCACATAGGATTCCAGAACATTGCTACGAGGGTCTGAATGTTTGTCCATCACAAAGGATTCCAGAACACTGCTGCTGGGTTCTGAGTGTTTGTCCCTCACATAGGATTCCAGAACACTGCTTCATGTGTCTCAATGTTTGTCCCCTACAAAGTATTCTAGAGCACTGATGCTGACTTCTGAGTGTTTGTCACTCATATAGGAATCCAGAAAACTGCTGCTGGGTTCTGAGTGTTTGCCACTCACAGATGATTCCAGAACACAGCTAGGAGTTTCTGAATGTTTGTCCCTCACATAGGATTCCAAAACACTGCTGCTGGCTTCTGTATGTTTGTCCCTCAAATAGGATTCCAGAGCACTGCTGCTGGTTTCTGAGTGTTTGTCCCTCACATAGGATTCCAGAACACTTCTATGAAGTTCTGGATCTTTGGCGATCGCACAGGATTCCAAAGCACTGCTGCCAGGTTCTGAGTGTTTGTCCCTCACATAGGATTCCAGAACACTGCTGCTGGGTTCTGAGTGTCTGTCCCTTAAATAGGATTCCAGAACACTGCTACAAGGGTCTGAATGTTTTTCCTTCAGAAAGGAGTCCGGAACCCTGCTACTGGGTTCTGTTTGTTTGTCCTTTACAAAGGATTTCAGAGCACTACTCTTGGTTGCTTAGTGTTTGTCCCTCACATAGGATTTCAGAACACTTCTATGAGTGTCTGAAAGTTTGTCCCTCACATAGGATTCCAGAAGATAGTGGATGGGTTCTGAGTGTTTGTCTATCACATAAGATTCCATCACACTGCTGCTGGGTTCTCAATGTTTGTCCCTCACATAAGGTTCCAGAACACTGCTGCTCTGTTCTGAGTGTTTCTCCCTCACAGAGGATTCCAGAACACTTCTCCTGGGTTCTGAGTGGTTGTCCCTCACATAGGATTCCAGTGCACTGCTACAAGGGTTTGAATGTTTGCGCATCACAAAGGATTCCAGGACCCTGCTGCTGGGTTCTGAGTGTTTGTCCCTCACTTAGGATTCCAGAACACTGCTTCAAGAGTGTGAATGTTTGTCCCTCACAAAGGATTCTAGAACACTGCTCCTGGGTTCTGAGTGTTTGTCCCTAATATACTATTCCAGAACACTGCTGCTGGGTTCTGAATATTTGTCCCTCTCATGGGATTCCGGAAAACTGCTGCTGGGTTCTGAATGTTTGTCCCTCACATTGGATTCCAGAACACTGCTGCTGGGTCCTGAGTGTTTGTCCCTCACATAGAATTCCAGAACACTGCTACGAATCTCTGAATGTTTGTCACTCACACAGGATTCCAGGATGCTGCTGGATTCTCAGTTTTTGTCCCTCACATAGGATTCCAGAACACTGCTACGAGGGTCTGAATTTTTATCCATTACAATGGATTACAAAACAGTTCTGGAATCCTATGTGAGGGACAAATACTCTGAACCCAGCAGTGTTCTGGAATCCTATGTGAGGTCAGTGTGTGGGGATGGGGGAGGGATAACATTAGGAGATATACCTAATGCTAAATGACGAGTTAATGAGTGCAGCACACCAACATGGCACATGTATACATATGTAACAAAGCTGCATATTGTGCACATGTACCCTTAAACTTAAAGTATAATAATAATAAATTTAAAAAATAAAATAAAATAATTCGAAAAAGAATTAACATAGTTTTATGTAGTCTTTAGTAGACAACATTCATCCATGTAAATTAAACAGTATTTTCTACAATTATGTGAATATAAGGCCACAATATTTACTATGAATAAATCCCTTAAATAGTAATTTTAATATCGTTATTTATTCTTTTGAAATATAAAGTATTATAACTGAGTTAAGGTTACAGATAATTTTAAAAATTTGTCATTACTAGTATATTGAAATTACTTATACTTAGATATTTATATCTAATATCCAAAGAAAATTTACTATCTAATTGTTACAGTAGATATTAATCTGACATGCTTATTAATTCATCCCATAGATATAATAATATGTCAGCTGGGCGTGGTGGCTCACAGCACTTTGGGAGGCAGAGGCGGGCGGATTACCTGAGGTCAGGAGTTTGAGACCACCCTGACCAACAAGGAGAAACCCCGTCTCTACTAAAAAAACACACACACACACAATTAGCCAGGGTTGGTGGTGCATGACTGTAATCCTAGCTACTCAGGAGACTAAGCCAGGAGAATCACTTGAACCCGGGAGGTGGAGGCTGCAGTGAGCTGAGATTGCTCCATTGGACTCCAGCCTGGGCAACAAGAGCAAAACTCTGTCTCAAAAACCAAAAAAAAAAAAAAAAAAAAAAAGATTTAGTAATATGTTAGCAAAATTTTACATTCTATCTTTTTTGTTTTTGTTTTTGAGATGGAGTCTGACTCTGTCACCTAGGCTGGAGTGCAGTGGCGTGATCTCAGCTCACTGCAACCTCTGCCTCCTGGATTCAAGCGATTCTCTTGCCTCAACCCCTAAGTAGCTGGGATTACAGGTGTCTGCCACCACGCCTGGCTAGTTTTTGTATTTTAGTAGAGATGGGGTTTCACCGTGTTGGCCAGGCTGGTCTTCAACTCCCGACCCAGGTAATCGGCTTGCCTCAGCCTCCCAAAGTGCTGGGATTACAGGCATGAACCACCACGTCCTGCCTTACAGTCTATTCTTATGTTTTACTAAATTAGGAATGCCACTCTTACAGAACAAATCAATGCAAGTGATGTGACTACCCAAAAATCATGAATCATAATAGTCTTCAGTTAGATAAGTTGCAATCTCAGATATAGTTCTACTATGTAAACAGAGTCAAATTCCAATTCTTTATCAAAAAGTGCTAGCGAAGGTTGCCTGATGTGTTCCAGTGTAGATCCTCAATCCAATGGCCAGAAGATGAGAGAGCAGAAGAGATGGAAGAGAAATCTTAAGAAATTCTGCTGAGAATATGCGCCCTTTCTTCATAACACTGTGTTTCTTGTGTTGAGAGCAGCTGTGCATTTTGGGTATTTAGAGAGAAACTTTCTCAGGGGAGTATTTTCTGGTCGACTTGGCTAATATTATATGTAGTCTGAATTTCTCTTTCAGATGCTTTTAACCTCGTAATACAATTTTATTCAGACTGAGAGCTGTTTTTCTCTTCAATGCTTTCAGTGTCTGTCTTCAGAAGGGACACCCAAAAGTGTCTCATGGTGTTTCTGAGTGAGTTGGGCTGTCACAATGAGAACTCTTTGACACTCTATCGAGACCCATGCTGGGAATCCAGCAGTATTTTTTTGTCACCATTATAAATAGAAACTTAGGCTGAAACATTGCTCCCATTTCCATTATTGCAAAAGTGCAATCCTACCCAGGAGTCCTGCAGGTTCTCCTCCTGCAGTTCAGGGACGCTGCTCCATAATGTGACACTGGAGTGCAGCTGTGGCAGTTGGAGTCCATGTGGAATGTGGGCTGCCAGCTGTGTGCTGTGAGCTGCGCCTCGGTGGTAGATGGTAGGGGAAGAGATGGGACATAGGCCACCAGGACAGGGCGAGCAGGATTGCTGCAGCCCGTGGCCTAGGGATTAGGGACCCTTTGCTTTGAAATGTAAATAGCCAAAATAATAGTATTCTATCTCACAGTGTCTATAAAAGAACCAGAGCCTACTTTCAGCAGGCACCTGGCTGTAAGTTGGAAAACTACCTCCTATCATGAAGATGTCAGAAGTTTATTTTTCCTTTCAATATAACCAAATGACATACACAAATGGCCTCCCCTATTACCAGATGAATTTAGGATAAACTGTGTATGACAAATGGTGCTGTCAATTCTTCTTCTTGAGGACTAATTATAGAGACCTTTCTGTCTTTGCAATCTCTTGAGCAGATTGTCTGTGATTCACGTCACATCACATTCTGGTTTTATTGTGCAATAAAACACTTTTCTTTCTGTTCTGTTATTGTGGGTTTTTTCTAGGACTGGAGACAATTTTCCTTTTAATTATATTTCTCAAACACTGTCCACAATTACCAGACATTGTATATACGTATAAGGTGCCCACCAAGCTTCACCTTAGAGAAGGCTTTCCCTCTCATTCTTCCAGTCAACCCAGTCAGTTATGCTTCAAAGTGCACACTGACCCCAGAGTATGCAGGCAGAATTGTGTCTCTGCCTGTTTCACATCTATAGTCCTCTACAACCACTTGTAGAGAGGTGAAGCCTTTCTACAAGTGGTTGACAAAATTCACAGGACAGTAATCAGCCATTTCACCTCTTTCAGTGACCATAGTGTCTTCAGATGTGAAACTGAGTTGACTATTAGGCCTAGAAGAACAATTAGAGTGACATGTGCGCATTGAGTAAACGTGAGTATCTCAACGTTCCTCTTTCTCCTCCTCCCAAAATTCCCATAAATGTGTAGTTAACACCTGCCATTTCTCCACCCATCCAGGACCTAAATCTCCAGTACCAAATTCTGAATCTCGGTCTTGAGATTAGAGGAAAAAGAATAACTTTGATCTGCGGAGTGCAAGTCCTTTTAGTTTTATCAGGCCCGGAGAGACATAAAAATGAGAACATAATTATGTTCTACTGCCTCCTTTGAGCTACTTTTTTACCTCTTGAAACTGCTATTGCTACAAGTAGATATAAATTAACCTAATAATGCCACACTGGATGTTATAAGCAATACCTTATAGCTTAAAATATATGGCCAAGAAGAATTTCTGACAAACAACTTTGTTTCAGTCCACTCCCTGTCCCTCTTTTTTGCCTTTGTAAATCCACTTGTAACTGCTGCTAATTAAAGTGTAGATTCAAGGCAACTTGAATCTATGCTCCCAGATTTCAATCCTGAGGCTTGGCCCAAATAAACTCTCTACTTAAACGAGTGTTGCCTTAGCCTTTTCTTTTTAGGCTGACATATCATGTGCTAGAGCAGACTTTATGATGGAAGTTTTTTTGTTTTTACTCTTCTTGCTGTAACACCAAAGAATGAAGAGTCAGGATGATCTTACCTGTAATCTGCACATAAGAGCTGAGCTCTCCCTGGGATTCACAGGAGAGAGCCAGATTTTGGATTGAGAATGTACAGAAAACCCATAGGAGACATTTTCTGATCTGTGAGATGTCAGCATAGAAATCTTAAAGCCCTCCTTTCAGAGTGTATCCCTTTGAGCTTTCCAGATATTTTCCAGTGACCTGCTATGGTTATGTGAGAGGCTGCTGGTGTAAGTAGAATCTGGTTGCACAATCTGTAAGTGTAAACATACATGTGAGCAGGGAGAGATCAAAGCCACAAAATACCCAGAGCAATGACATAAGTTTACCTATTTGTAAAATGTGATACTGGAGTAGAGTATCCTTGTCCTTTCTCTTACCTAAGAGCTAGCTAATCAGAACAGGTGATATCACATGTAGATCCAGGTTCTGGAGCTATACCAGGGCAGTTCCATTTTCTATTTAGAGTCAGCTTGAGTCTTTCCTGCCTGGATCATCATAGGGTCATCAGTCCATGGTCACTAGGAATCCTCTCACAATCATCCGGGAATCTTTAAAACATTTCAGGATATCCTGTACAGACTTGGGTCAGGCTGGCAGGAGTGTCTAATTCTGCTTCCATGTTAGAGGAAGGGAAGTGAGTCATTCATGTCTGTTCCTTCTTTTGTAGAAAGAATCTCCTTGGTTGGTACCCGGATGAGAGTTTCTCCAGTTTTCTTGGCAAAAAATTCAGGAGTTCTGGAGACTCAGACTGATAAACAAATTGCCTCCATTTCATATGGCCTTTAGAAAAATAGATGAAGCAGTCATGGTCCTTGTTATTCAAAAACTTTCAGTCTAGAGCAACTGGATAAATGGTCTAATTAAGCATCATATAGTCAGTACAATAAAGTGGGGGTATTAAGGGGACTTGGGTGATGGCTCTTATGTTGTTGTGACTTCTGATGTCACCACCTGAAGAGCTATTATCAAACAGGAGAGTTATTTGTATTTCTATTGCTTTTACCTTGCTAAGAATACATATTTTCTAATAAAATTATCCTAGAAAGCCCTAAAAATTTTGCTTAAATTGTTTGTTATTATATGTTATAAAATAGAGTAGTGGCTAAATGGATTAAAATTTTACAAACTCTTAAGTTTCTCTTGGACAGGCTTAGGAAAGACAGAACAAGAAGTACTCCAGCACCATAGAGATCATAATTCAACATAGGACCACTTCTCCACCCCAGCTCTGTCCAGATTCACCCTTTTCTGAGCCTCATTCAGATCTGGTCCCACCCTGGAGTCTCTCCTCACAGAACTCATTAGAGGAGACCAGAGATTTGGGAGGTAGCTCCTGCTGCCTCTCTAGAGCTTATGCTCACAATATTCTGAAACCCAAAAGAAGATGAATTACAGCAATAACCTATATATTTTGAGGTCTTATCTCTTTTTAATTAAAACCAGTACTTGTAGAGACATTCCATCCCAGTAGTTACTCCACAAGTCACAAGAAAGTAAATAGAAACACAATAAAAAATCCCTCTGAACTACACTTAACCCTTTCCTTTCTGTATCCCTCCCATCTGTCTATATTTATCTCTCATGCTATTCATTTAAAAAAAAAATCAGTGAGAGGCCGGGCTCTGTGGCTCATGCCTGTAATCCTAGCACTTTGGGAGGCCGAGGTGTGCGGATCACTTGAGGTTGGGAGTTCAAGACCAGCCTGACCAACATGGAGAAACCCTGTCTCTACTAAAAATACAGACTTAGCTCAGTGTCATGGTGCATGCCTGTAATCCCAACTACTCGGGAGGCTGAGGCAGAAGAATTGCTTGAATCCAGGAGGTGGAGGTTGAAGTGAGCAAAGATCGATCGTACCATTGCACTTCCAGCCTGGGCAACAAGGGTGACACTCTGTGCCCCCCCCCAAAAAAAATCAACAAGAGATAAACAGGAGAAGAAAACAATGCTGGCCCCTTTATCTAAATTCTGAGAATTATTGAACACTTAGTACCCAACTCTCAAGTTGTTACGAAGATTAAATCACATAATGTGATGTTCCCAGCACAGTGCTCTGTAACACACTCCTGAGCACATATTACCTACTTAATAAGCATTGCATGAGTATATGTGTACATGTTGTTTTTCAGTGCAGACTTACTCAGACATTGCTGCCTTCTCCTGTCTCTGTAAACTTTAAAAAGCTAGCAAAGAATGTGGTCTTTCAGGATAGAGATTGATTGTTTATTTGATCAGAAGTATTTGTGTTGTGATGAGTGATGAGTGTAAGAGTCTGTTCCATGCCTGATTTTTCTAGCTAAATGCTACTAATGATGGGTCTGGGGAAGCTACATCAGCATTGACAGATGTATTTAAAATGTACTTTCATGGACCCTTTTAAAACCTGCAGAATCACATTACATAGTGTGGGGCCAGGGTTACCAAATGATTTATATGCACATTGAAGCTTGAGAGGCAATGCTTAGCTAAGTGATTCTTGGCCCAGGCTTCTAATTAAGATTCCATGGCCAGGTTGCAGAAATCTTTTCACTTGTGCCCTTCCCGCAGGCTCTGTATATTGTTCTTTGTGGAAGCATCCTTGTTGATATAATTAAGTGCCTCCAGGTTGAGGCCAGGGTCAAACATGAGGAATTCAAAATACATTCATGAGAGTTGAGTTCAAACTTTACTCCAAAGGGAGATCACAGAGCCTGCTATGGTTGGATTTGGTAGGGACAAGTTTGTGTGGCCCATATTCCCATTGCTGTAGCAGAAATTGTGGCATCTGTGGCAGGAAAAGAGAAAGATAAATTTTGATCTTCATGGAGGAGCTCACTGTCCTTGAATCTCACCTGTTATAAACAACATAAATGGGTGGACATTTTCTGCATGCCTGGATCTTTCTACCTGTGTTTGTGGTGGTAGCAAGTGAAGGGATTGTGCTGATTCCTTTAAAGGCATATTCCCAAGATGCAGGTGTGACTTGTCCAGAGAATATCACCTGAGAAGAAATTCTAGAGAAGGATGATGAAGAGAAAAATGGCTTTTTTTCTGTGAAGACACAGGTGACTGTGTCTTCAGATAGGGAGCAGTGTTCACTCTGCCTCCTGGAATGCCATATGTTTAGAACTTACAAACCTGTACTTCTTGATTTTATGCTGTTTCTCCCTATAAGTTTGTTTAAACATTTTTTCTTCTCATGATAGTCAAGGAACTCTGAAAAAAACTTTTTTTCTACATACTAGAGCCTTCTTGACATTCTCTTTATCTTGGCTTCTTCTCTGTCATGCAGAATTCTCACCATTAATTTAAGACTCGTAATATTAAAAATATTCCCTTTGGCTGGGCAAGGTGGCTCATGCCTATTATCCCAGCACTTTGAGAGGCCGATGTGGGCCGATGACCTGAGGTCAGTAGTTTGAGACCAGCCTGGCCAACATGGTGAAACCCTGTCACTACTAAAAATACAAAAAATAGCTGGGCGTGGTGGCAGGTGCCTGTAATCCCAGCTACTTGGGAGGCTGAGGCAAGAGAATCACTTGAACCCAGGAGGTGGAGGTTGCGGAGGTTGCAGTGAGCCTACATCATGCCACTGCACTCCAGACTGGGCAACAGAGAGAGACTCCATCTCCAAAGGAAAAAAAAAAAAAAAGAAAAATACCCTTCATTGCTGGTGCTGGTGCACATGGAAAGGTATGGATACCCAAGATTCCTACTGGGGAAGAGGTGGGGTTCTTAGATATTCATGCAAAAGGGGAATATGTAATGTTGAAGCTCTGTCTGTGTGCTCCATCAACTCCATGCGGAACAGGATTAAAATATGCACATTTGAATGGGATGGCATTTATTACCCAGAATAATTCAGAAAGTTTTGAAAAAAATAATTAGGAGATACTCGCTTTCTAGAATGCTAAAGAAAGTCTGCGTAAATACTCTGTTAGAGATTACACAATGTGAGTGATTACTGTAGTTTGCATTTTGCATAAAACTTGTTTCTTTATGATTAGATTTGAATTACAATTTGCTTCTTTCGCAGGGGCCAGTATCACAGCAGTGATATTGTGTCCTTCTGTGAGCATCAGCGCATGATGAAAAATTTGTTCTGTTATAATTGGTGTTAATTTGATTTGCTTAGTTAAATAGTTCTCTGAGAATTTTTTTCCACTCTAGAGTTATTTTTCTCTTTATTATTGAGTACCTTGGGGACATTTACCAGCTGATGTGCATAAAGTATCACATGTAATCTGGAAGTTCTCTTTTCTTCTTAGATTCTCTTTGCATATGTCTTTCTTTAAAAAGTGAAGTCTCTCATCTTTGTTTACTGGTCATAAAAACCCAGGCTCTGCCACATAATGAATGTTTGACAAAATATTTATCTTGGACCAGAAAGATTGGTGTCACTTGGGAGCTTGTTAGAAATTCAGAAACTCAGGTTTTACCTCAGGTTTCTTGAAACAAAATCTGCATAAAAAGATCTCCAGTTTATTGTTGTACACATTAAAATTTGAGAGGTACTTTATAACTAAGCCTGAATTTTTTATCTGAGAAATATACAGAACTTATACTGTATGATTAAATCAAGCACTCAAAAATGTACATGTCTATGTTCCTGTTGTTAATTTTGTACTTTATCATTCAAAAAATATCATCAATACACTACACTGGTATTGTGAATCTTATGCTCTCTTTTCTCAGAGATAGAGAATACAACAGAATATTTTTTGTTGTGAGTTATTTTATAGGACATTTTCAGTCGTATAAGTCAGAATCAGTTCTCTTCACTCATTTTATCTTGAGTCAATTTAAGAATTCTGTCCATGGCCACTTGAAGTGTGTGTGTGTGTTTTCAGGGACTGTTGACATTCAGGGATGTAGCCATACAATTCTGTCTGGAGGACTGCCAATACCTGGATGCTGCTCAGCAGAATTTGTATAAGGATGTGATGTTAGAGAACTACAGAAACCCGGTCTTCTTCGTTGAGGATAACTTCAATATAGAATTCCTAATTTACCCTAAAGGTTTCATTTTCTTCCTTTGTAGGATGTGTTTTGGTAATTTCTGCTTTGCATGAGTGAATTTCAGATCCCTGTTTTCAAGACAATCTTGAGGATTTTTTGGTGTGGAAAATAAATTCTTCAAGTTGTTTCATTTTGACCTGAATTTTCCCCTTTCCTGAGCTTATCTATAATATTCACTCTAGATAAGTGGTAATTTCAGAAATTTAGTGGCATAAAATAATGTTGTCCACAACTTAAAATTCAATTGCCACCACCAGTTTTTGATTCAGTAATACTGAGGAGTGAAACAGAGGACCCAGATATTTAATGTACTTTCTGAATATGCTAAAGGTTCTGTCAGTAAAAAGTATTTTGGAATTAATTTTCTAGAATCCTCTATTATGTCCTCTTTTCTCTGCTTAGCACAGTATTAGGTTGGTAAATGGAGAATCCCAGGAAAATTCATGCTCATGCTGCTTTTTAAAATAAAACAGGTATTGTCTTCTCTAAGCCAGACCTGGTCACCTGTCTGGAGCAAAGGAAAAAGCCATGGAGTATGAAGCACCCAGGTAGGTGAAAGCGAATGAAGAAGAGGATGACATAGATGAGACATCCAAAGGCCGAGAGGAACCCGGACTTTTACATGTGATGTGGGAAGCTGTGCTCCAGTGGAAATCGTTTCTGAAAAGCCTGGGTTTTTTCACTTGTTCTCACATTGGGGCATCCTCTGTCCCATGCTCTCTAATGACTCTACATTTTCTTCCATAATTTTTCTTCAGATTTGCAGTGAGAGCCAAAATTCTCTTTATGGCTTATAAAGGAGTGCACAATCTGACTACTTTTATTGCTTTTGGGGATATACAAATAGCTGTATACTTTTTAGAAACCCTGTGTTTAACAATTTTTAAGTTCTCTTTCTGCATTGTGTCTGAAATATGTAAAAGTAGTGATATTGAGATTTGGTTCAGAAATCCCAGAAATACAGCAAACATATGTTGTATGTTTTCTGCTTTATAGTTTCTTATTTTATGGAGGTTTCAAATGAGTTTCTACAGAAATTCATACTCGGTAATTTAATCAGAATATTAAGGATCTCTTTAAGAATATCTAATGTTATTTGAATTGAAATTTTTATTCTTTTAGTACTAACTGAGGTTGGTAATTTCAATTCTGTCTTAATTTCTCAACTGTAATATAACATATATATTTCCTACATTTCTTCAATTCACTATGTCAGGGAACTTAGAACATTACTGAGCATATGTTAAGCTCCCACTTCTTCCCTTGTTTTTTAAATTACTATTTTATAATTTTATCTTGTTTAGGATAAAGTTTACCAGAACTGTAATTTATATGTGTGTATATATATGTAGATGTGTATTGTGGATTTTTTTACAAATAAAAATTTTATAATTATATATTTATGGTGTACAATGTAATGACTTACTGCATGTGTAGATTGTAAATGATTAGCACAACTTGTTTATGAACATTTCTATCACCTTTCCTCACATAGGTACCTTTATTGTAATGAAAACATCTAAGATCTGCTGACACCAAATTTTAAGCATACAAAAAATTAGTGTTAACTGTATCATGAAGCTATATGTTACATTCAAAAAACTTACTCATAACAGAAAATTTGTGTCTTTTCAATATCTTTTCATTTTCTCCCATATCTAGTCCCAGACAACTTCCATTGCAGTCTCTGCTTCTGTGAGTTCAGCTTTCTTAGATTCCCCATATAAGTGAGAAGGTGTAGTATTTCTCTTGCTGTGTCTGGCTTATTTCCCTTGGCATAATGTATTCCAGTTCTACCCACGTTGTTGAAATGGCAAGATTTTGTTATTTTTCAGGCTAAATAATATTCTATTGTTTATTTATGCCAGCTTTTCTTTATTCAGCATCCACAAACATTTAGGTTTTTTATATCTTGGCAATTGTGAATAATGCTGCAACAAATATGGTGGTACAGATATGTCTTCAAGTTACTTATTTCATTTCCTTTTGTTATATACACAGAAGTGGGATTGCTAGATTGTGTAGTAGTTCTGTATTTAAAATAACCTCTATTGGTTTTTATAATGACTCCATCAATTTATAACTCTCCAAAAATGTACAGAATTTTTTTTCTTCAAAGTGCTGTCAACACTTGTTATGTTTCTTCTTTTTACATTATCCATTCTAACATGTTTTAAATGATACTCATCTTGGTTTTGATTTGCAGTTGCCTGATATTTGGTGATATTGAGTACTTTATGGCTTATCTGTTGGCCATTTGTATGTCTTCATTGGACAAATATCAGTTTAGTTTTTTGCCTATTTTGAACTGGGTTACTGTTGTTTTTGCTTTTAATCTGCTTGCATTTCTTATATATTTTGTATATAAATCTTTTATCAGATGTATGGTTTGCAAATAATTTTTCCCATTCTACAATTTTTTTTATTTTATTGTTCCCTTTTCTGTGCAGAAGGTTTTTAGTTTGATGCAGTCCAGCTTGTTTATATTTGCTTTTGTTGCTGTACTTTTGGTATTATGTCTAACAAATTATTGTTAAGACCATATCATGAGGGTTTTCCATGTATTTTTTTTCAGGTTTTTTAAGGATTCATATTTAAGTCTGTAATTTAACTTTTAGCATGGTGTAAGAAAAATAAGCTAATTTTATTATTTTGCCTGGTTCTTTTTTCAGAACAAATATTAAAAAGACTATACTTTGTTCATTGTGTATTTTTGGTGCACTTGTCAAAAATTAGTAAACTTTATAAGCCTGGGTTTATTTCTGGGCTCTAGTCTGTTCCATATGTTTCTTGTGTCCATATTTTGCATGTATCATCTTGTTTTTTTACTACAATCTTAAAATATAGTTTGAAATCATAAAGTATGAAATTTGGTTGCTTTGTCCCTTTTCCTCTAGATTGCTTTGGTTTTTCAAAGCCTATTGTAGTTTCATGTAAATTTTAGAATTGTAATTTCCATAACCGTGAAAAATGTCACTGGATTTTTAATAGAGAGTTCATTGAAATGTAGATCACTTTGAATCATATGGCACTTTATAATATTTATTCTTCCAGTTCATAAGCATGATATATTTTTGCATTTATTTGTGACTTCTTCCATTTCTTTCATCAATATATGTTTCAGTGTAAAGATCTTTTGCCTTCTTTGTTAAATTTATTTTTCAGAAATTTATTATTTTAATTCTATTGGAAATGAGATTGTTTTCTTCCTTTTTTATCAGATGGTTTGTTGTTAGCATATGGAATCATATCTGGTAATTATATATTAATGTTATAGATTTCTAATTTTCTGAGGGCATTTGTTAGTTTTTGATGTACTGTTTATGGTTTTCTATATACAAGATCATGTCACCTACAAACAGCAACATTTTAATTTTTTTCCCTCAATTTGAATGTCATTTTTAGGGGCATTTTCTTGACTAATTCTTCTGCAAAGTACTTCACTGCTATGTTAAAATAGAAACATTGAAAATGGAACTATGTAGCCTTACCCTGGTGTCTATAAATTTGAAGAAGAAAACAGCTCTTTAACTTTTTATAAACTAGTTTCAGGAGGTACAGATCTTCTTTTGTTGGGTCCCCAGGGTAATGGGATGCCCTATGAACTTGTAGTAGGGAAGAGTGTGTAACTGTGTCACAAGGCTGCTGGGTATGCAGTGGATTCCACCTTCAAGTGGCTTTTTACCAGGGGCTTTGGTTGTTGTGACTCCCATCTAATGTCTGGGTGGGCTGGATTTCCTTCAGGAGTTTTATTTATAGGGCAGAAACTAGGACAGATTTCTGCAGTTGGGTGTGTATACGGTGGACCTTATATCGGGATGTGGTAAGTGTGGCTACCACTGAGTATTTGGAAGTTTTTTTTCCACATCACTGTGTGGGTTCCTGTGTTGGCAGGAATTGCTGTGAACTGTGGCAAAGACAGCTGAGACTGAGTCACTGAACTCCTTCAGGGGCCGCAGTAGAGACCAAGGTCTGCAGGCCACAGTAGAGGCACAGCTGGAGTGCAGAGGCACAATCTTTGCTCACTGCAACCTCCCAGGTTCAAGCAATTCTCCTGCTTCGGCCTCCCGAGTAGCTGGGATTATAGGTGCCTGCCACCATGCCCGGCTAATTTTTTTGTATTTTTAGTAGAGACGGGGTTTCACCATATTGGCCAGGCTGATCTCTACCTCCTGACCTCAAGTGATCCACCTGCCTCGGCTTCCCAACGTTCTGGGATTACAGGAGTGAGCCACCACGAACAGCCTTCTTGGTTGATTTTCAATAGCTGTCTTACTATGTGAAGGTGAGTAGTCATAGAAATGGTTGTATATTCACCAGGTGTTTAGTGATAAATATATATATTTCCTTTGTGTGAAAGAAACACTTTTGTGATTTGAAGGTGATTTATATTTATATATTTTGTGATTTATAGAAAGACGTATATCACTTTTAGTTGTTTTCAAAAAAAATCGAGAAAACGCATAATATAAAATTTACCATTTTAAAGCTTTTTAAGTCTATATTTCAGTGCTGAGTGTGGTGGAGCCTCATGCCTATAATGCCAGCACTTTGGGAAACTGAGGCAGAAGCATTGCTTAAGCCCAGGAACTTAAGACCTGCCTGGGCAGCATATAGAGAGCCCATCCCCACAAAAATTTTAAAATTAACCAGGTGTTGTGTTGTCCACTTGTGGTCCTAGCTCCTTGTGAGGCCGTGGCAGGAGACTCACTTGTGCATGCAGGGTTGAGGCTGCAGTGAGCTAAGATTATGTGACTTCATTTCAGCCTGCAGGACAGAGTGAGAACCTACCTCAAAAAAGGTGTACATTTTAGTCGTTAAGAGTATTTACATTGTTATGTAAAGACCTGTAGAACTTTTACGTCTTCTAAAATTAAAACTTAATACCCATTAAGTAACAACTGCCCATTTTACCCTCTCTTTAGACCCTGAGTAACACCATTCTCCGTTCTGTTTCTATTTGACTACTTACGATGACTCATATCATGGAATCATATAGTATCTGTCACTTTATTACTATCTTATTTCAGTTGACATAATATTCTCAACGTTTATGTAAGAATGTGACAAGGTTTACTATTTTAAGGCTCAATAATATTCCACTGTATGTATGTGTTACATTTTTAATTTGTTTATCCGTTAAGGGATATCTGGGTTACTTCTACCTTTTGGGTTTTGTAAATATTGGTATAATATATTTATATATAATATATTGGTATAATAAATATATTATACCAATATTTATATATTTAATATGTAAATGTTATATATATTAAGTATATAACTTCCAGGTTATATATTTAACCGGTTAAATATATATTAACTGGTTAAATATATATTAACTGGTTAAATATATATTAACTGGTTAAATATATAACTTCCAAATATATATTCAAATATAACTTCCACATTCTTTGTTTGAATATAGATTTATATTTGGAATATACATTTATATTTATGTTTGAATATAGATTTGTAAGTGGAATTCTTGGATTCCATTTATAAATGTATTAATATATAAAAATATATTTTATATTCCAGTCAAATAATATGATTTATATTTGAATATAGGTGTATAAGTGGAATTCCTGAATTATGTAATTTAATTTTTAAGAAACATTCATAATATGATGGTTGCATCCTTTTTTCCCCACCAACAATTCACATGAGTTTTAATTTCTTTACATCCTCAACAGATATGACATTTTAAAAATTTATCATGGCCATTCTAATGGGTATGAGGTGGTTTTGTTTTGGATTGTAATTTTGTTTTGTATTTCTCTACAATTGGTACTTTTTTTGCATTATTTTAAGTGCTTTTTTCTACTTATATATATATTTGATTAAGTATCAGTTCAATTCTTTGTCCATTTCTGGATCAATTTATTCAATGTTTGTTGTTCAGTTTTAGTTGTTTATCATTCTGAATATTAACTCATCACATGAAATTTGCGAATATTTTCACCCATTCCTTTGATGGCATTGTCATTCTACTAAATTTTTTCTTTGCTGTGCAGAGAAAATCTTAAAATATTTAAGTTTAGCATAGTTAAATTTTGGGGGTTTTTATGTTTTTCATAAGTATGATGTCATATCTACAAAAAAGTTTCAAAACCAGTGTTCTGTATTTTTCCTATTTTTTTCTTCTAAGAGTTGTATTAATTATATGTTTTTTAGTTTCATTATTTTATTTAAAATGTGCAAGAAAATAATCCAACTTTATTTTTTTCAGTGTAGATACTCAGTTTTCAACATCATTTGTTGAAGAGATTGTCTTTTCTCTGTTGTGTAGTCATGGCAACTTTGTGGAAGATTATTTGATTATATAAAGAAGGGTTCATTTCTGGGATATTTTGTTCCATCATCTGTTTATTTGTCTCTGTTAGTACCACATTGCTTTTGTTTATTGTTGCTTTTTAATATACTTCAAAATCAGGAAATATAATGCCTCTTTGTTCTTTTTCATGGGTGTTTGGCTAGTTTTAGCTCATAATCAATTTAAAAATTTTTAAACAATATTTCTGGTCAACAATGTACCATTGGAATTTCTTCACCACTGTGAGTTGTTTTCACATTTTGATTAAATTATCTGGACCTTGAGCAAGAATATATTAAAGAGTGTGTTTTATTTCCATATATTTTTGAATTTGCCAGTTTATCTCTTGATTTTGATGTCTAGTATCATTTTATTTTAGTCAGAAAACATAACTGTATAATTTTGGTCATCTTAAAGTTATTTATTTATTTTTGTTGTTATTGACAGACAGATTCTCACTGTGCCACTCAGGCTGGAGTGCTAGTGGTACAATCTTGGCTCACTGCAGCCTCAACCTCCGAGGCTCAAATAATCTTCCCACCTCAGCATCCCAAGTAGTTGGGACTACATACGTGTGCTGTCACGTCTGGCTAGTTTTTTGATTTTTTTGTAGAAATGCGGGTTCTCACTATATTGCCAAGGCTGGTTTTGAAATCCTGGTCTCGAGTGGTTTTTTCTCCCAAGGTGCTGGGGGCTACAGGCATGAGCCACCACACCTGGCCAGTCTTCTTAAACTTAATAATACTTTTTATGTGTCCCAACAGAATGCACCAAGTTCAAGCAAGAATATTGTGTGATCTGTTCCTTTTACTGGAGATTCCTGTACATATTTTTAATTTGTAGTTGGTCTATGATATGATTTGGATGTTTGTAGCCTTCAAATCTCATGTTGAAATGGGATTCCCAATGTAGGACGTGGATCCTTGTGTGATGTGTTTGGGTCATGGGGGAAAATCTCTTGTAAATGACTTTGCACCATCCCCTTGGTGATCAATGAGTTCTTACTCTGTTAATTCACATGAGAGCTGCGTGCTTAAAGAACCTGGCACTTTCTTTTCACGCTTGCTCTCTCTCTCCCCATGCAATATATCTGGTTTCTCTTTGCCTTCATCATGATTGTAAGCTTACTTAGACCCTCACCAGATGCAGAAGCTGGCACCACACTTATTGTACATTGTGCATAACTATGAAGAAAATAAATCTTTTTTCTTTATAAATTACACAGTCTTAGGTACTTATTGCAATACAAAATCAATTAATACAATTTATAATGTCATCCAGGTTTTATTCTCATTGATGTTTTATCTAAACTTTCACTCATTATTAAAGTGGGGTCTTAATGTCTGTAATTATTATGTTGCTATGTATTTTTTGCTTCACTTCTGTCAATATTAGCTTTATATATTTTGGAACACTGATCTTTTAAATAAATATCATAGTTATAGATTCCTGGTAAATGATCAATGTTATCATTATATAGTAACAATCTTTACCTCATGCTAGTTTTTGATTTACAGCATATTTTGTTTAATATAATTATGACCACCTCACTTAATTGTGGATACTTTTGCATGGAATATGTTTTTTCATTCTCTTTCTTTCAACCTATTTGACTCAAAGTTAAAGTGAGTCTCTTGAAATCCTGGTCTCAAGCAATCTTCCAGTCCTGGCCTCTCAAAGTGCTGGGGCTACAGGCATGAGCCACCACATCTGATTAGTCTTCTTAAACTTAATAAGGCTTGTTACATGTCCTAACAGAGTACACCAAGTTCAAACAAGAATATTGTGTGATTTGTTGCATATTGTGTAATTTTGTTTGTTCTTATTCCATTCAGCCATTTAATTTCTTACTATTAGTTTAATCAATTTACATTTAAAATGATTCCTTAGAGAAATGAAGTTACTATTACCATTTTGATTGTTATTATTTTCTGTGTTTCTTGTAGAGATGTTTTCCATAATTTCCTATTTTACTGTCTTAATTTTTGCTTTTTTGATTTTGTAGTGTTATGCTTTGTTTCCTTTCTCATTTTGTATTGCATACTTTCTATAAACTTGTAATTATTTTGGTAATTGGAGATTATGTAAACATTTTAAAGTTATAACTATATTACTATGTCATAACTTCAGTTGAATACAAAAACTATACCTCTTTACATCCTGTAGTGGTTTTTTTGTTTGTTTGTTTTGTTTTGATTTTGAGATGGAGTCTCACTCTGTCACCCAGGCTGGAGTGCAGTGGTGTGATCTCGGCTCACTGCAACCTCTGCCTCCCAGGTTCAAGCAATGCTCTGCCTCTGCCTCCCGAGTAGCTGAGATTACAGGCACCCACCACTACGACTGGCTAATTTTTCATATTTTTAGTAGAGATGGGGTTTCACCATCTTAGCCAAGCTGGTCTTGAACTCCTGACTTCATGATCCACCCATCTCGGCCTCCCAAAGTGCTGGGATTACAGGCATGAGCCATTGCACCCAAGCTTACATCCTGTAGTTTTTTATTATTACAAATATTATTTTATATTGTGTGTCTATTAACAGATTTATGCAGATTTTTTTGTTCAAATTCTACAGCAGAATTTTCAGAAATTTTGCTTCATGATTATGGTAGTAAACAATTGTATATGTGTTTATATATTTACATTTAACAGAAAGCTTTATAGTTTCATGTAGTTTTTTAATACTGTTCAGCATCATTATATTTTTCAACATATGGACTCTTTTGGGCATTAAAAAAATAAACAGCATCTCACTATGTTACTCAGGCTCATCTTGAACTCTTAGCCTCAACTAATCTGCCTGCCTTGGCCTCCCAAGTCTCTGGGATTACAGACATGAGCCACTGGTGCCTGGCCACCATGTAGCATTTCTTGTGGGACCATGCCAGTGGTGATAAATACCTTCACCTTTTGTTTATTTTGTAAGTTCTTTATTGTTTCCTTATTTTTAATTCCAGAATAATTCCAAATAATTTCAAAGCAAACAGTATTGATTGGTATTAGTTTTTCTTTTATCACATAAAAATTTGGAAAGTTCTCATCCTCTTTTATCTTCAAATAACCCCTCTACTACTTTTTCCCTACATTTGTCTTCTAAGATTTCTTTTCCAAACGTAGTAATCTAGTTAATGGTGTTCAGTAAGTTTAACATTCCATGTTTTCATTTTGTTTTGCAATTTTATTTTATTTCATTTCACTTTATTTTATATATATATTTTTTGAGATGGAGTCTGGCTCTGTCGCCCAGACTGGAGTGCAGTGGCACGATCTCTGCTCACTGCAAGCTCTGCCTCCCAGGTTCACGCCATTCTCCTGCCTCAGCCTCCTGAGTAGCTGGGACTACAGGTGCCCGCCACCATGCCCAGCTAATTTTTGGTATTTTTTAGTAGAGACGGGGTTTCACCGTGTTAGTCAGGACGGTCTCGATCTCCTGACCTCGTGATCCGCCCCCCTCAGCCTCCCAAAGTGCTGGGATTACAGGCGTGAGCCACCACGCCCAACCAATTTTATTTCTTTTTTGTTTCATATTTTGGAGTACACCACCTCACATCAGTTAATTGTGTTTTTAGATTTTATTTTGTATGATAATTGTGAATGACAATATTCAACTCTGTACACTTTAAGACAGTGTGGAGCCAAAGTTAAATACGAATCAGTCATATGTCTATAACTAATATAATAATTTATTTGTTTGTGTATACACATATTATTTCTGTATTGTTTATGACTTGTATGTTTGTGAGTGATCAATGATGGTTTTATCTGAGTAGTCATAAAAACTCTCCTACTTCTAGTATCTATTTGGGAATTTATTTTTGTGTAGGAGAAACACTTTTTTGATTTGAAGGTAATTTTAAAAACTATCAATTTAGTCCCTTTTTTAGGTATTATTACTGTTTATTTTTAATTATCAAGAACATAAAATTTAGAATCTTAATTTAAAAGAAGTGTGTAGTTTATATTAATTATTTGGACATTATTATACAATATATCTCTAGAATGTTTTTGTCTTGCAAAACTAAAACTGAATACACATTAAACAACTACTCATTTCTCCCATTTTCTGGCCCTTTATGAACAATTCTGTTTTCCTGTTTTTGAGTCTAACTGCTTTAAATATCTCATGTAAGTGGATTCATACAGTATTTTTTGTGGCTGACCTATGTTATTTTGCATAATTTCATGAAAGTTTATTATGGTTGTTAGAATATTTCCTTTTTTTTTAGACGGAGTTTCACCCTTGTTGCCCAGGCTGGAGTGCAGTGCAGCGATCTCAGCACACCACAATATCCGCCTCCCAAGTTCAAGCCATTCTCCTTCCTCAGCCTCCTGAGAGGAGGCTTGGATTACAGGCATGCACCACCATGCCCGGCTAATTTTTGTAAGTAGAGAGAGGGTTTTTCCATGTTGGAAAGGCTGGTCTCGAACTCCCAAACTCAGGTGATTCACCCACCTCGGCCTCCCAAAGTTCTGGGATTACAAGTGTGAGCCAGTGTGCCCCACCTGTATTTCCTGTTTTTAAATACTGAGTAATATTCCATTATTTTTATGTTTCAAATTATATTTATCCAGTAATCTGGGGAGAAAAATTTGCATTGCTTTCACCTATTGCCTGTCAATAACAATGCTGTAAAAATTATGGATGTGCAGCCGGGAGCAGTGGCTCACACCTGTAATCACAGCACTTTGGGAGGCCAAGATGGGTGGGTCACAAAGTCAGGAGATCGAGACCATCCTGGCTAACACGGTGAAACCCCATCTCCACTAACAATACCAAAAAATTAGCCGGGCATGGTGGCGGGCACCTACAGTCCCAGCTACTTGGGAAGCTGAGGCAGGAGAATGGCATGAACCTCGAAGCTGGAGGTTGCAGTGAGCCTAGATTGTGACACTGCACTCCAGCCTGGGCAACAGAGCGAGTCTCCATCTAAAAAAAAAAAAATTATGGATGTGCAAATAACTCTTCCTGTGATTATATGTGTGAGAGTTTATAATGATACTACATTCTGTTTATTTGGTCTAGTTCACTTTTTATAACGAAACCAAATTGTTTTAAGTCTATACAATGTGTTTTGAAATCAGGGAGTTGTGATGCCTCCAAGGTTGTTCCTCTCTTTGAAGATTATTGGGTGTTTCATTGTTTCTTAAAATTTCATATAATTTTGGTGTTGCTTTTTCTATTTCTTCTAAAATAAAATTAGATATTTGAAAGGGATTGCATTAAATCTGTAGATTACACTGAGCAGTATGGGCATCTTCACAATATTAATTATTTTACTCTTTGATCACGCTGAATATTAATTATTTTACCCTTTGATCATGCTGAAGAGTGTGTTGTTTAATTTTCATGTATTTGTAAATTTTTTAGTTTTGTTTTTGTTGATTTCTACTCTCATTCCATTTTGGTCATAAAAAGTAATCTATCAATTTCAATTTTTAAAGATTTAGTAAGTTTTTATTTTTATCATGGCCTAACAGGCAGTTTATCAAAGAGAATATATGTGAGCTATTGAGAATGGTTGTACCCTGCTATTGTTAAGGGGTGTTGTTAGGCATAATATTGTTTTATACTTCTTTTTTTGTATATTTTTTTCTTTTTGAGATGGAGTCTTGCTCTGTCACCGAGGCTAGATTGCAGTGACGCAATCTCGATTCATTGCAAACCCCACTTCCCTGGTTCAAGCAATTCTCCTGTCTTAGCCTCCTGAGTAGCTGGGATTACAGGCGCCTGCTACCGCATCTGGCTATTTTTAGTAGAGATGGGGATTTGCCATGTTGGCCAGGCTGGTCTCAAACTCCTTACCTCAGGTAATCTGTCTTCATTGGCCTCCCAAAGTGCTGGAATTACAAGCATGAGCCACTTGTTCCCATCTGTACTGCTTTCAGTTTCTCTTTTCCATTTTTTTTTTTTTTTTTTTTTTTGAGACAGAGTCTTGCTCTCACCCAGGCTGGAGTACAGTGGTGCGATCTCGTCTCACTGCAAGCTCCACCTCCTGGGTTCATGCCATTCTCCTGCCTCAGCCTCCTGAACACCTGGGATTACAGGCACCTGCCAACATGCCCTGCTAATTTTTTTGTATTTTCAGTAGAGACCGGGTTTCATCGTGTTAGCCAGGATGGTCTCCATCTCCTGACCCCGTGATCGCCTGCCTTGGCCTCTCAAAGTGCTGGGATGACAGGCGTGAGCCACCGTACCTGGACCCCTTTTCCATTATTAATATTGTTTTGTTTTATTGTTCGTTGCAGAAATTGAAGTATTAAAATATCTTATTATAATTATATTGCTCTCTATTTGTTGCTTTCATTCGGTCAATTTTTGCTTTGTATTTTTGGAAACCTAATGTGAGAAATACACATACACACGCAAACATATAAATATATGTATGCACATATTTGTCATACGTTTTCAATAAATGATATCTTTATTATTGTTTAAAGACCTTTTTTCTCTTGTGAATTTTGACATAAAATATATTTTATAAAATAAGAGAGTTGTTGACTTACAATGTATAGATCTCAAGTGACTCTTGAAGAAAGGCAAGTTGGATCTTGGTATATAAAATTTTGTATAATCTCTCTATTCAATGTATGTGTATTGATTGGCAAATCTATTTTTAAAATATTTATTTTCTGAAGAAAAAGATTATTGTTATTTTATTGTTTAATGATTCTTGTATGTCTGTTTCTCATTCTATCTTCCTTTGTGTCCTTTTTAATTTTTGTATGGATAGGCTGTCACTTCTTTCTTACTTCCTTTTTTGTATCTATACAGACATTTTCTTTGTGGGTGTCTTCAGGATTATATAAAAACCTCTTAAAATTTCAACAATATATTTTGAAGTGGTGAAATTTAAATTCGGGTTCATGCACAAATTATTTCTTATTACATCTGTCCTCAACTTAGTTATTGATGTCACTAAACATATCTATTTATGTTATATATCTGTTAACAGATGCTCATTATTATTTTTAGCTTTTATCTTTAAATTTTAGAGAATAATTAAATAAGACATTTTTTGGTATTATGATAATGCTACAGGATATTTTTCTATAATATTTGCATATCTTTATATCTTTCCTAGAAAACTACCTATTTTTATATGATAGTTTTGTTTTTTAGCATCATATAGTTTTAGTAGGAGGACTCTTCTCAGCATTTTTTGTAGGGCACATGTAGCATTGATATAATTTTTCCACATTTGGTTATCTTTAGAGGTCTTTCCTTTTTCTTCATTTTTGTAGCACTGTTTTGCTGGTTATCTTATTCTTACATAGACGCTATTTTTCACTTGGCACCTCGACTATAGCACACAATTTCCTTCTGGCCTGTAAGGTTTTTGTTAAAAGAGTCACTGGTTATATCATAGAACCATAATTATGTATTTTCCAGCATTTGAGATTCTCTTCTTGTCTGTGACTTTGGGAGCTTTGCTTTGCATATCTTGTTATGGATCTGTGAGTTTCCTAGTTTTAGTATGTTGAGCTTCTTCATTTTTACAACCTTATTTTCTTACTTTTGAGAATTTCTCAGGTATTCTTAATTTTTTGAGAGAGTGTCTTGCTCTGTCACCCAGGTTTGAGTACAGTGGCATGATTGCAGCTTACTGCAGCCTTGGATTCCCTAGGCTTACGTGGTCCTCCTAACTCAGCCTCCTGTTTACTGGGACCACAGGTGTGTGCCAATACACCTGACTAATTTTAATTTTTATAGAAGAGAAGTATTGCCATGTTTCCCAGTTTAAACTTGAACTCCCAAGGTTCAAGTGATCTGCCTGCCTCAAACTCCAAAGTGCTGGGACTACAGACATGAGCCACTACAGCTGGCCTCAGTCAATATTTCTATTTCTATTTTCTACTTCTATAATTTCTATTATATTTTTCATCTTTTCCTTGATATTATATATTTTCCTGATTTTATTTAGTTACCTGTGTTCCCATGTAAGTTAAATTTTTAAAATTAAAGTGTATGCCTTCATTTTCATGGTTGTCTTCTGACAGTTTTGAGGGTTTTTTTCTGTTTTTTTTTTTTTACTTAGGCCATGTCACTGTAATATTTTGTATGTATTGTACTCTTTGGTTGAGATTTGGACATTAACAAACAGGTACCTGTCACAATCTTTATAATGCTGTGTTGTCCTAACATAGTCTGAAACCAATTGTCTCTACTAGAGATTCTGGGAGCCTATCAAATATGTTATGATGTGTCTTGTGTGGAATTTTGTGTTGATTATTTATTTAAAGGGGTTTGCCTGTGTTTCTTAACAGTCTGTAATTACTTCCTGTATGTATTGCATGTCTGTGGTACTGTAGTTTGTTGCTGTAACATTTACCTTTCTTCTCAGCAGACTCAAGCTGTTATTTCAAAGTATACCATCATTTCTTTCAGCACATTTTGTCATTGGAGACAGAAACAAATCTCTATAAAAGTGCCCAGAAGCCAGAAGTAAAAATACATGAGCCAGTGTTTTTTTTTCTATGTTGAGGAAGATGCCAGGCATTGCAGTTTACTTCTAAAAGTGCCATGCTGCATTATGGAGGAGGAAAGGTGTTGGGCAAACGTAACAAACTTTTCTATCCATTCAGTGTGGCTTGTGGCATTTTGTTCAACTGGTACACTGAACACACTTAATTCATTTATAGATTTTCCATAAAGACATTTTGGTCAGTACAGTTTTGTTATAAGGCTATAAAAGAATTAGGACCTGTGGTATTTTTGTTATGCCATGTTGCTAATGTACTTTGTATAATTTTATGTATTAGATTTGTAAACAATAGATTTGTATATTTACATGGGCCTAGTGAGATAATTTGTTATTTTTATTTCTTTCAGCCGTGTTCTCATTTCACCCAAGACCTTTGGCTAGATCAGAACATAAAAAATTCATTTCAAAAAGTGATGATGAGAAGATATGGGAAATGCAGACATGAGAATTTACAAATAAAAGGTTGTAAAAGTTTGAATGCATCTAAGGTGCAGGAAGGAGGTTATAATGGACTTAACCAATGTTTGTTGATTACTCAGAGCAAAATACTTCAAAGTAATACATGTGTGAAAGTCTTTAGGAAATTTTCAAATTCAAATAGACTTAGGAGAAGACATACTGGAGAGAAACCTTTCAAATGTAAAGAATGTGGCCAATTCTTTCACAGGTTCTCACACCTAAGACAACATCAGATAATTCATACTGAAGAGAAACCCTACCAATGTGAAGAATGTGGCAAAGATTTTAAGCAGTCTTCAGATCTTACTATACATGAGAGAATTCATACTAAAGAGAGACCCTACAAGTGTGAAGAATGTGACAAAGCCTTTAAACAATCTTCAAAACTGAATAAACATAAGAAAATTTATACTGGAGACACAACCTACAAATGTGAAGAATGTGGCAAAGCCTTTTCCTATTCCTCAACCCTTACTCAACATAACATAGTTCATACTGAAGACAAACCCTACAAATGTGAAGAATGTGGCAAAGCTTTGAAGTAGTCTTCAACTCTGACTATACATAAGATTATTCATATGGGAGAGAAATCCTACAAGTGTGATGAATGTGGCAAAGCCTTTAAAAAATCCTCAAAACTGAAAGAACATAAAAGAATTCATACTTGAGAGAAACCCTATAAATGTGAAGAATGTGGCAAAGCTTTTTACTGTTTCTCAGGCCTTACTCAACATAACATAGTTCATACTGGAGACAACCCCTACAAATGTAAAGATTGTGGCAAAATTTTTAAGTGGTCTTCAGACCTTACTATACATCAGATAATTCATAGTGGAGAGAAACCCTACAAATGTGAAGAATGTGGCAAAGCCTTTAAACAATCCTCAAAACTGAATGAACATATGAGAGCTCATACTGGAGAGAAATCCTACAAATGCAAAGAATGTGGCAAAGCTTTTAAACAACCTTCAGGCCTTACTCTACATAAGAGAATTCATACTGGAGAGAATCCTTACAAATTCGAAGAATGTGGTAAAGCCTTTTATTGATTTTTAAGCTTTACTAAACATACGATAATTCATAGGGGAGAGAAACCCTACAAATGTCAAGAATGTGGCAAAGCTTTTAAGTGGTCTTCAAACCTTACTATACACAAGATAATTCATACAAGAGAATTCATACGGGAGAGAAACCCTACAAATGTGAAGAATGTGGCAAAGCTTGTAAGCAGTCTTTGGGGCTTACTATACAAAAGAGAATTCATACTGAAGAGAAACCCTACAAATGTGAAGAATGTGGTAAAGCCTTTTACTGTTCCTCAAACCTTATTCAAAATGACATAGTTCATACTGAAGAGAAACACTACAAATGTCAAGAATGTGGCAAAGCTTTTAAGAAGTCTTTAGACCTTAATGTACATAAGATAATTCATAGTGGAGAGAAACCCTACAGATATCAAGAATATGGCAAAGTCTTTAAACTATCCTCAAAACTGAATGAACATAAGATAACTCATAGTGGAGAGGTATCCTACGAATGTGAAGAATGTGGCAAAGGCTTTTACTGCTCCTCAAGCCTTACTAAGCATACGATAGTTCATACTGAAAAGAAACTGTACAAATGTGAAGAATGTGGCAAAGCTTTTAAGTGGTCCTCTGAGCTTCCTATACATCGGAGAATTCATACTGAAGAGAAACCCTATAAATGTGAAGAATATGTCAGAGTCTTTAAACACTCCTCAAAACTGAATGAACATAACAGAAATCATACTGGAGAGAAACCCTACAAATATGAAGCATGTGGCAAAGCTTTTTAAGCAGTCTTCAGGCCTTACTATACATAAGAGAATTCATACTGGAGAGGAATCCAGAAATGTGAAGAATGTTGCAAAGCCTTTTACTGGTCCTTAAGCTTTACTAAACATAAGAGAGTTCATACTGGAGAGATACCCTACAAATGTCAAGAATGTGGCAAAACTTTTTCTTGTTCCTCAAGTTTACTCGACATAAGACAGTTCATACTGAAGAGAAATCCCACAAATGTAAAGAATGTGGGAAAGCCTTTAACCAGTCCTTATGCCTTATTAAACTTATGAGAATTCATACTGGAAAAAAATCATTCAAATCATAAGACTGTGGCAAAATCTTTTAAGTATTGCTCAAATATATCCATCCGTAATTCATACTAAAGATTATGCCTATGAACCTAAAAAAGTTTGGCAGAGCTTATGAATACACCTCAAACTTTCCTAAGCATTGGAGAAATATCAGTGAGAAACCTCAGAAAACTGAACAATGTGGCAAGGCTTTTAAATGGTTGTCACATCTTACTGTAGGCAAAATAATTGATAGTGGAGAAAATCTCTACAAACAAAGAATGTGTCAAAACTTCTGACATGCTCATACCTCATGACACATAAAAGCATTTATACTTGAAAAATTATACAGAGTGTGGAAAAGCCATTTCTATCTGCTCACATCATAGTCAACATCAGTAAGTTCATACTTAATAAAATTATTATAAATGTAATTACTTTTGAAAGACCTTGGAAAATTTAAACCCTTAAAGAAAAAAGAGTATTCTGGAGACAAATATTACAAATATAAAGAGGGTTGTAATACCTTTACTTGCCCTATATAATGTACAGATTTTATGGTAGAAGAAAACTCTAATGGAATTACTCAAACTTGTTCAGCATCAGAGAATTTATATTGAAGGAAACCATACAAATGTAATAAATGTGGAAAAACATTTTTTCAGAAAATACAGCTTACAAAACACCACACAGTTTATAATAAAAGATATTTTTGCAGAGGGAACACATGTGTAAAAATATTTAGTCAAAATTAAGTCTTTGTAAACTTTAGAAAATTCACAGTAGGTAGAACTAAGGCACTGGCACTTAAGACGTTACACTAAATCAGAATGTTCTGTATAGAAAGTAATCCAAAGCTAAAACTGTTGGATAATTTATTTGTATATAAGTTTAAGAGGAGTGGAAGATTATTTTTTGGAGTTATAATTACATTCAAGGTATACGTTTTTCCTTGAAAAAAATGTAGATTTTTTGAAAAGCAAATAGTAAGGTAATTCAACTGTAAAATTGCTTCATGCTGTTCCTTTTTTCCTGTTGTTTGTGTAAAAGCATGTCATCAATTTCTGTTGCATCAGAAATCTGAGAAATTCCCTTCTTATTAGGTAGGCATCATTCATTAACTTTTCCATGGAAGAGTAAGGATATTAAAATGTAAGATGCATATTGAAAATCTAATTGGAGAGGCTCTTTATGTCTGACTTTTAACATTGTTCATGTGATACATGAGTTATGTGTTTAGAGTGATATTCTGCATTATAGTGAGAGGAAAACTTTGTTTTAGTAGTAAATTGTTTTACCAATTGTACTTTTATGCAATAAAATGTAGGGAATTTTAAAATTCTTTTATAAGACTGTGATAACTTAGCTTTTAAATTAAATGAAATAGTTTTAAACTTTTTAAGACCTGCATTTAGTAAAGTGCTATGTCACCAACTTTAACGTGTCCCACCTTGTTAAAGATGTAGATAAAAGATGGTAACATAGTAGAATGACCTCTCTAGCAATCTCTTTTGCCTGTGGCATTAAACTGAAAGGTTTAAGAGTATTGTTTCAATGGGTAAAATGTACATTTGTTTAACGTTTTAAATTTTTGTAGGAACATAGTATTGTTTACCTATTTATGGCATTTATAGAATATTTTCATACAGGCATACAACTTGTAATCACATCAGAGTAAATGAGGTATTCATTACGTAATGCATGTTTTGTGTGTGTTACAGACAATCCAATTAAACATTTTTAGTTGTTTTAAAATGTACAAGTAAATTATTACTTGCTACAGAGGTTTTTTTATGGTCATAATAATAATTACATAGTAGTATAATAAGAAATCTCACATTTCTAAGTCCTGAATAAATATTTTTAAAAATTGGTCATATATATTTTGAACAAGTGGCCTCTCTGCCTGTAAACTCATACAGACTGTTAGTTTTTACTTATGTGATGCTAAATATACAAATATATTACTCTTAAGATAAACATTATGTGTAAGAAAATTGTGGGGCAAGTAATTGTGTGAGTGTGAGTGTACCTATTTTCAGAAGACAAGAAATATTGGAACAAAATATCGCTTTAATAAAGTGGACAAATAGTTTACTAGAAGATGAGAAACCTCAGTGATTTTGAATATCTGTATTCTCTGTATTTTATTTAATTAATTACTGTGAAGTCTTATGGATTGCTTTTCCGAATCTTTCCATGCAAATTCTTTCTTTCATGTGCCTGGTACTCATGGTAGACTGATATTTTTTTCATATTTTTTGTGTTTATAATTTATTAAGTATTCATTATGTGAGTTGCTCAGGTATTCTAAGAATTTTTATAAAATTTACTAATGCACGCAAAATAATTTTTCAATGTTATTTCACAATGAGTGTATTAACTTATATTTCTTTTGTTGCTTTCTTTTTTCTTTTTTTTTTTTTTGAGATGGTGTCTCACTCTGTCGCCCAGGCTAGAGTGCAGTGGTGGGATCTCAGCTCACTACAACCCCCACATGCTGGGCTCAAGAAATTCTCTTGCCTCAGCCTCCTAAGTAGCTGGGACTACAGGCATGTGTCACCATGCCCAGCTAACGTTTTTGTATTTTTAGTAGAGACAGTGTTTCACTATAAATGGCCAGAGTGGCCTTGAACTCCTGACCTGGTGGTCCACCCTCCTTGGCCTCCCAAGGTGCTGGGATTACAGGCATGAGCCACTGCATCTGACCAACTTATATTTCATTTAGTTAGAACATCCCATTTTGTTATTTTAATTGGAGAAGCCTGTGTAAGCTAAGTTTCCTTTATTATTGTTCCTTTTACTCTTTATAATTGACATAGGTTAATTTATTCATTCAGCCAATTTGTTTAGGTAAATACTGGGGAGGCTTCATAAGTCATAAAGATATTTTGATATGTAAATGTAGCAAACACAATGCTTGCTGATGCACCATTATTGGCCACAAATATTTCTGCTGGAGTTAGTTTGTAGCTCCAAGTAAAAATAAAGAAATACGCATGGTGAAGAAAGAAAATCAATTCTGTATATGGAGAGGACACTGTTCTTATGCTGCAAAATTGTCTCTTTCTGAATTTAAAGAGACATTCTGCTTATTTTCTGATTATCTTTAGTTTTGTTTGTGTGTCTACTTATGTTTATCCCAACTGTGTATGCATCACAGCCCTTCTTTTTATTCTTTGTGTTATGGCTACATCTTTATTGCTGTTTGTTTTGTGCCATGCCACTTCACACAGTACTTTGTAGGTTCTGATGAAAGTTTGTCAATGTAACTTTCAGATCTGTTAATTGAGATAAAAGGCATGGAGTGTTCACAGGTGAGAGGAATAAATCAGTCAGAATTTCTTGTCTTTGTAAAACCAAACTTTTATCAAATTTTAACACAGTCTGTGTGTGGTAGCTCACACCTATAATCCCAGCACTTTGGGAGGCTGAGGTGGGAGAATCACTAGGTCAAGAAGTTGAGACCTTCCTGGACAATATGGTGAAACCCCATCTCCACTAAAAATACAAAAATTAGCTGGGCATGGTGGCATGCACATGTTGACCTAGCCATTCAGGAGGCTGAGGCAGGAAAATCGCTTGAACCCAGGAGACAGAGGTTGCAGTGAGCTGAGATTGTGCAACTGCATTCCAGCCTGATGATAGAGTGAGACTTCATCTCAAAAAAAAAAAAAATTAACACAAGGTATGGAAAATATAAAATTAGTTAGAAGATATGTCTTAGAAATTAAACTTTTAGAAGAGTTAATGTTAAGTGGAGAATGTTAAATTTAATTTTTTATTACATACTTACAGCTCAACTTAAGTTTTCATTCAGAATCTTTTATTTTGGTGTGAATGTTAAATATTCGAAAATAATAGAATGACACCTGTGGATTTCACTTGTGAAATAATCTTTTTCATATTAATGTTAAAATCTTGAGGAATTTCTCACACTTGTATAATGTACTTTTTTATTGGGTGCAGTTTACAATTTAGAGGTTTCAGTCTTTGTCACCTAACTAGTCAACTCCTTGGTCATTTTATCTCGAAAAATTTTAAAGATCATGGCATCTTTTGAGTTAAAAAATGTCTTCAGTGGTCTGGGATGCAAACTTATTTACTCTCTTCAGAGTGGTTTAATCATGTGAAACACAGCAAGAGCTGCCCTTTTTGTGTCTTCCCTATCATTACCACCAGCACCAGAAACTCCAGTTGTCCCAAGCTCAAAATAAAAGCCCTAAGGTACATTGGCTTCTCCCATGCTCTGTGCTGGTTCCCGAACATGGTGGTAAATATTAGAGTTCATATGGTCATGACTGACTAGGTGACAAAACAGCACAGAAACTGTATCTTTCATACTATTCAGACAGGTTTACGACAAAAACACAGGTCAGAATTTGAAACATTGTCATTTTTAATAGTTTTTATAAATATATTTTTAAATTCACTGATGAAATATGTATTTATTTTGTAAAATAGTATTTTGAAGTAAATATACATTGTCGATGCCTAATTTTAGGTAATTGTCAAATGCTTTGCCTCACATTGTTATTATTTTTGTGGCGAGAAGACAACATTTACTGTCTTAGTATTTTTTCAGAAATACAATACATGCATTATAATCTCTTGAACTTATTTTTCTTATCCAATTGTAATTATGTAATCAAGATACGTTTTGTAGAATCCACATGTGAGTGAAATCATGAGATATTAACCTTTCTGTGCCTTATTTCAACAACCATAGTGTCCTTTAGGTTTATCTTTGTGATTAAAAATAAGATTTTCTGTTGAAAATACACTATTTGATTGTATATATATACCATAGTGTCTGCATTTCGTCATTGAATGATGGACACATATGTTGATTCTATGTTTTGGCTTCTGTAAAGTGTGCTGCAACAAACTGAATTGCAGATGTCTGTTCATCAATCTAGTTTCATTTGTGTTGTAATAGATATCCAATAGTTCAATTACATGTTAGAGTTTAATTGTTTTGCAAAATTTCTATTTTTCATAATGGCTGTTTTTATTTACATTGACACAAACAGTGTGAAAGCTCCCCTCTTTCTCTTTTTTCAAGTTTACCAACAATTTTTTTAAGCATTTTAACAGGAGTGAGTTTATATCTTAGAGTTGTTTTGGTTTGCCTTTCCTTGATGATAATTGACTTTGAGCCATATTCATCTATCTGCCAAGCTATATGTATGTCTTTCTTTGAAAATTATTTATATAGATCTTTTGCTTATTTTTCATGGTTATTTGTTTTTTGTTGTATAGTCCTTTGAGTTTCTTATATATTTTTGATATTAACTGCTTTTCACGTGTAATTTGCAAATATTTTCTTCCATTTTTCAGTTATGTCATTCTGCTGATTGTATCTGTTGGTGTGCAGCAACTTCTTAATTTTAGGGAATCTGATTTGTCTTTTTCCCCCTAAAATTTTGAGGTGAAACCCAAGAGTCACTGCCCAGACCAATGTTATGAGGCATTCATTCTATATTTCCTCATCTTAGTTTTAGATTTTCAGGTCTCATATTTAAGTATCTAATTTGAGTTAATTTTTATATATGGTGTGAGATGAAGGTCTGATTTTATTATTTTGCATGTGGATATATATTTTCTCAACATCATTTATAAAAGAGACTGTTTTTTTTAAAAAAAATTATCATCTTTATTTACAATCAGTTGTCTGTAAATACATGAATTTATTTCTGGTCTTTCTCTTTTGCTCTGCTGGCCTTTGTGTCCATTTTTATGTAAGTAACACTCTGTTTTGATTACTGTAGCTTTGTTGGACATTTAAAAGTCAGGTAGAGTGATTCCTTCAGCCTTTTATTTTTCATTTTTTGCTTGATTTTCTTAGCTATTAAGGCCTTTTGTGGGGCAATATACATTTTAGATTTTTTAAAAACCTTTCTGTGGAGAATTTAACTGGTATTTTAATAGAAGTTTTATTATATCTGTATATCAGCTTGTGTAATGCTGATATTTAACAATATTAATCATGCCCATTTATGAATTAGAAATATCTTTTTGTTTGAATACTATTTTCTAACTTTTTTTTAGATTATAATGTACAGATCTTTCACCTTTTTGGTTACATTCATTTCTAAGTATAGTTATTGCTGCAATTATTGTAGATGGGATTTTTTTTGGTTTTATTTTCAGATACTTTATTGTTAGTGTATAGAAATATTACTGAATTTTTTATGTTGATTTTGTATCCTGCAAGTTTAATAAATTTGTTTATTCTAATAATTTTTTGTGAAGTCCTAGGTTTTTCTATACTTAAGATTATATCATCTGCAAGGAAAATATAATTTATCTTCTTCATTTTATTTAAGGTTGTTTTGATTTTATTGAATAATTTTTCTGTCTTGGTCATTTTGTATTATGTTCAGTAAGATCAAAGAAATTGGGCTGGGTGTGGTGGCTCACACCTGTAATCCCAGCACTGTGGGAGGCAGAGGTGGATGCATCACGAGGTCAGGAGACCAAGACCATCCTGGCTAACAAGGTGAAACCCCGTCTCTACTAAAAAGACAAAAATTAGCCTGGTGTGGTGGTGGGCACCTGTAGTCCCAGCTACTCAGGAGGCTGAGGCAGGAGAATGGTGTAAACCTGGGAGGCAGAGCTTGCAGTGAGCCAAAATTGCACCACTGCACTCCAGCCTAGGCAACAGAGTGAGACTCCATCTCAAAAAAAAAAAAAAAAAAAAAGGATTGGAGAAATTGGACATCCTTGTCTTGTTCTAGCTCTTAGAGAAAAGGCTTACAGTTTTTCCTTATTCAGTATATTAGGTGTGCATTTTTGTTACACACGACATTACCTTGAATTTCATTTATTTTATAACTAGTTCAAGAGATTTATTATGAGGAGATATTGAATTTTGTTACACTTTCATTATACATCTATTTGAATGTTACATTTGTGACAACCAATCCCACAAAAATACAAAACATACTTGCAGACTACTATATATATCTCTGTGCACACCAACTAGAAAGTCTAGAGGAAATGAATAAACTCTTAGAAATATACAACCTCCCAAGATTGAATCAGGAATAAACAAATCTTGAAGAAACCAAAATGTGTAAGCAAATTGAATTGGTGATAAAAAAAATCTACCAATTATAAAAAGTGCTAAACCAGATGCATTCACAGCATGATTTTATCATGTATACAAAAATGAGTCAGCTATAATTCTACAGAAAGTATTCCAAAAAATCAAAGTGGGACTCCTTCCTAATTAATTCTATCATATCAGTCTCATCTTGATATATTAATCAGGTAAAGACACACACAAAAAATTACAGGCCAATATCCCTGATGAATACAGACACAAAAATTATTCATGAAATGCTTGCAAACTGAGTCAGGAAATCAAAGTTATTTCACTGCAACTATGTGGACATTATTCTGTGAATGCAGGAATGTTTTAACATGTGCAATCTATAAATGTGATTCAACATATAAAAATAATTTAAAAACAAAACCACATTACCTCAATAGATGTGGAAATAGCAATTAATAAAATGTAATATCTATTTATGAAAAGAATTCTCAAAAAACTAGGCATTGAAGGAACATACCTCAAAATAATAACAGCCACATGAGACAAATCCTCAGCCAACATCATACTGAACAGGCGAAAGATTAATGCATCCTTCCTAAAAACTGAAATAAGAAAAGAATGTGCACTTCCACCACTCCTATTCAACATAGTCCTGAAAGTTTTAGCCAGAACAATCAGGCAAGATAAAGAAAGGAAAAGCACTCAAATAAGAGAAAAGGAAATCAACTTATCTGTCTTTACTGATGCTATAATTTTCTACCAACTTCAAAGACTCCTCCAAAAGACTCCTAAGCCTAATAAAAGACTTCAGCAAAATCTCAGCAACAACAACAAAAAGCAAAACAACATTCAAAAATGAGGAACATTTCTATACACCAGTAACACTTAAGCAGAGCAAAATTAAGAACACAATCCAGTTTACAATAGCCAGAAACAAAAAATAAAATAGTGATCCATTAAACAAAGGAGGTTAAATATCTCTACTAGAAGAACTACAAACCACTACTGAAAGAAATCAGGCACAGTGCAAATAAATGGAATAGTATTTCATGCTAATGGATTAGAATTATTAAAAATTTCATACTGCCCAAAGCAATTGACAGTTTATTTGTATTTCTATCACTCTACCAATGCCATTTTTTATAAAATTAGACAAAAAAACTATTCTAAAATTTATATGTAAACAAAAAAGCTCAAATAGCCAAGGCCATACTAAACAAAAAGTATAAACCTGGAGACATTATGTTACCAAACTTCAAACTTTACCACAAGTTACGGTAATCAATATAATATGGATGCAGATACACACACACACATATCCCTATTGAACAGAAGAGAGAGCCCTGAAATGAAGCTGAACTCTTACAATTAATTGATTTTTGACAGCATCAACAGAAACAAATGGAAAGAACTCCCTACCCAATAAAAGGTGCTGGAAAAACTGGTTAGTCATATGCAGAAGAGGAAAACTCGACTCATGATATGGAAAATTAACTCAAGATACAATAAAGACATATCTGTAAGAGTTCAACCTATAAAAATCCTAAAAGAACACCTAGAAAATTCTCTCCTTGGCATTGGTCTCTGTAAAGAATTAATGACTACATCCTCAAAAGTGAAAGCAACAAAAATAAAAAATAAAAATTGTGACCTGCACAGCAAGAGAAACTATTAACAAAATAAACAGACAACCTACAGTATGGGCTAAAATATGTGTAAACTGCATACAACAAATAACTAATATATATGTTTTATAAGGAATTTAAGAAAAAATATTGACAAAAAATGTGAACATATACTTTTAAAAGACAAGAAAAGCAGCCATCAAACATATGAAAAATGGATCAACATTTCTAATGATTAGAGAGATGTAAATCCAAACTACAATGTGATACCATCTCACCCCAGTCTAAATGACTATTATTAAAAAGTAAAAAAAAAAAAAAAAAAACAGATATTAAAATTGTGTAGAAAAGAGAACCCTGATATACTTAGTGGGAATGCAAATTAGTTCAGCTCCTGTAGAATGCATTTTGGGGATTTCTCAAATGACTAAAACTAAAGTTACCATTTGACCCAGCAGCCTCACTACTGGGCATATACCCAAATACAAATAAATTTTTCTTCCAAAAATACACTGCACTCGTATGTTTATTGCAGCACTAGTCACAATAGCAAAAACATGGAATGAAACCATGTGCTCATAAATCTTAAGATGGATTTTAAAAATTAGGTAATTACACACCATCCAATACTATGCAGCCACTGAAGAAGAATCTTGTAATACTCTTTGCAGCAACATGGGTGCAACTCAAGGTCATGATCCTAAGCAAATTAACACAGAACAGAAAACCAAATACTACTTTTTCTCACTTATAAATGGAAGCTAAACATTGGGTACACACGGAAGCAATGATGAGAACAATAAACACTAAGGATTCCAAAACGGAGGGAGAAGGGGTACAAGGGTTAAAAAGTACTTATCATGTATAATGTACACTACCTGGGCAATGGGATTATTAATTGCCCAAACCCCAATGTCATGCAGTATACCTATGTTACAAATCTGCACATGTATCCTTGAATCCAAAATAAAAATAATAAAGTACTTTGTGATATAATGCCGTGTTAGATTTCTCCAGTTTTGGTTAATGGTTGGAATTAAGGGTGGAAGACATAGAATTTTGTCCCCTTTAGACATAGGGGTGAATGTTTCTATAACAGGTCTCCTGACATCCTATACGCTATTTTCTCTGAAAGCCCTTGGCCTTAGTCTTGAGTGTGCAGCTAAAATAAATGACAGTATATCAAGCTTGTCCAACTCATGACCTACAGGCTGCATGTGGCCCAATATGGCTTTCAGTGCAGCCCTAAACAAATTCATAAACTTTCTAAAAGCATTATGAGTTTTTTGTGATTTTTTTTATCATCATTGGTGTATTTTATGTATGGCTCAAGACAGTTCTTCTAGTGTGTCCCAGGGAAGCCAAAAGATTGAACACGCCTGCTCTACATCATTATTTTTCATCTATTTACAGTATGCTAGATGATAGTGTTAATTTATTAGTCTACTCCTTTGGGAAACAAAGATGGTCAGTGGTTTAAGTTTTTTTAGAACCGTTTTTGAAAATATGAAGCTATGGTAATCATACCTAAGTGACATAATTAGGAAATAAAATTTCTAGAAAAAGCATGAAAGCGTTATGGTTAAAGTTCAAGAACAATGAAACGGGAGTATTGGTTATTTAAGACAACCGTCTTGCAAAGGCAATCATTTCATCACAACCATTTTGGTGAAAAAGAATAATGTGTCAGAAGGAATTTTTAGAATAATTTTCTGATTATATGGCAGTGTTAAATTTTTATTTGTATTATTTGTCATATATAAGTCTGTAAATAAAAGAGAACATGGCCTGACTTTCAGATGCATCTTTTCACACATATATTCTCCCTAGAAGGGCACTGGTGTGCTTTTCAAAAGGGGTAGCATTGCTGGCTTTCGTTGTGCTGCTATGTTTGTGTGCTAAATGAAGGCAGAAAGTGAAGCAGAGTCAACCAGGACGTTTCTAGTTTCTACATCCACATCATCTGAAATCTAGTGTTATGTCAACTAGAAATAATCCTGGGGCTAAGTATTTTAAAACTGAAAAAAAATGCATTGATAAATATATTTTTTGTTTATTTTTATAGTTTATAAAAAATTATAGTTTCTGACTTATTATAAGTTAAAACCATTTGAACATGCAGATAACTAAAAGTTCCAACTAGATGATGGTATTAATATTTAATAACTTATGATTGTGAGCCACAGTTGCCCCATTTGGCTTACTGAAAAGCAGTATTTTAAATGGAGAATAGGATTTCCATAATTCCAAGCATATAGATCTTTTAAGATAAGCACTATGCTTAGATTTGAATAGATTGTGTTTGTAGTAACAGGAACTTTAATATTTTTTTCTAATAGGAGCAAAAAAGCAATAAAAATAGGTAGTTATAATTAGTTCAAAAGAAACTTCACATGTGGTCATTGAAGGAGTAGCTGGGGTTACAGGCATGTGCCACCACGCCCAGCTAATTTTGTATTTTTAGTAGAGATGGTGTTTCACCAGGTTCATCAGGCTGGTTTCGAATGCCTGACTTCAGGTGATTCCCCCCACCCCGGCCTCCCAAAGTGCTGGGATTACAGGCGTGAGCCACCATGCATGGCTGGAAAAAGTATTCTTATGTTACTGTTTCTGAAGTTTTGAGAAACTTTAGTCGACTCAATGGATGGCGATGTACATGCAGACCACCAATTATAAATAAAATAATAGGCTCCTTTTAGCTTTTAACATTAAAACTAAATATATGTCAAAAGTAAAATTAGTGGCTCTTTTAAGTCAGGAGAAGAATGTCAGTGTCAGAAAGCCTTTACCAAAATATTTGTGTTAGGCTTAGTAATGAGTGCTTTGCACCAAAAATTAAGTTCATTTGTTTTTATATTTTTTCTTTTTTTGTTATTTCTAGAAATATTTTAATTTTAAAATGTAAACTATGACTGTGTTAAATGCCTTCATTTCTATTCCTTTTTGTTAATATTTTGCCTGACTGAGAAGATGAGTTTTTTAAAAAAAATTCTTGAATCAAGACCATTAATTAACATAGAAACAAAATAGTAATGAAAATCGACCTTTATTAGTAAAACAATTATCTAACTCCTAGTAATCCTTACCTGTCTCACTCAACATAAAATCTACATCTTTGCATCCCTCTTAGTTATAAGGAAGTGGCATTTGATCAAATTGGTCAGCATGACATTGGGTAAAATGTAACTATGTTTTGGTCTGACAGTTGAACTGATTTATTACCAAAGAAGTTGATTTTTTTAGTATGCGATATTTTACTATTTTCTGTTTATTTAGGGAAACTAAACTGACAAAGCATGAAATTAAAATTTTATTTCAAATGGAAAATGCTTAAACATGTTTTATAGTAACTAAAGCTAAAAATATTTTTGGATTTTTAAATTAAAGAACATCTCAAGTACTTCAAATTACCTTCCCTGACAGCAGATTATATTTTACTTTATTGCTAAAATGGAGTTTGGCTGTCTTTTATGGCTATATTGATCATTTTCATTCTATTTTTTGTGCACTATTTGCATCATGCATTTCACATTTTAATAGTTGTAGTTCATGCGATGTGGATTTTCAAACAATTGTCCTATTTACATGGCAAGCCATCTGCTTAAGCAGCAGACACTTTATTTTCAGTCTTTTCAAAGCCACTTTGCCTGAAAGGCAAAGAGACAATTCAATCCAGTGTGCCAAGCTGGTCCCCTCCAGTGACCATCTATTCAAATTCACACAGGTGATCTTTTGGTGAAAGAAGGAAGGTGCACTTCAACAGCATTGTCACAGCAATGTGGAACAGATATTATAAAATACAAGACGAAACATTGCCTTCAAGGAAAAAAAGTTGATTTTTATTATTCTGTGTACATGAGTATCTGATGGTTGTAAGGTTGAGAATAAAGAGTAAAATTGGGCCAGGCTCGGTGGCTCATGCCTGTAATATCAGCACTTTGGGAGGCTGAGGGAGGTGGATCACAAGGTCAGGAGATTGAGACCATCCTGGCTAACAGGTTGAAAGCCCGTCTCTACTAAAAAATATAAAAAATTAGCCAGGCGTCATGGCAGGCGCCTGTAGTCCCAGCTACTCGGGAGGCTAAGGCAGGAGAATGGCGTGAACCTGGGAGGCGGAGCTTGCAGTGAGCTGAGATTGCACCACTGCACTCCAGCCTGGGCAACAGAGTGAGACTCTGTCTCAAAAAAAAAAAAAAAAAGTAAAGTTAGATAAAGAAAATCTTTACATTAGTAGTACCTTCTTGTTTATCTAACACATCCTGAATGGTTTTGTCAAGTGTTAGGTTGCCATATCCATCATTTGATAGACTCTGATAATCATTTTCTATCTTACCAGTGTAATTATGCAATTGACATCATCTGGAGTTGATGTCTTTGATTCTTAGGTTCTCAGACATAAAACTATTAAATTATTATTGATAAAAATGTTAGGTTTTATTTGCCTGTTTTACTACAGAACATTTGATGCCAGTAAGCTTAAGTCCCTTGAACCTTTGAAAAAAATGCTTTAGCTTTTCCTGTTTGGAAAGTCAAATTTGGTCAAAAGTAAATATAACAACAAACTTGAATATAAATTACTTTTTAATTGAATCCAAAAAATTGAATAAAACAATACATTTGATATTTACTTGAGTATATGTCAGAAATTTTCAAAAAATTCAAATAGATACAAATTTGTGACTGAGCTGAAACTTGAAAAATATACCTGCTTTCATGACAAATCATTTTGTGATCACATTAATTTTCAATTTAGCCATGTTTTATAGTAGACTTCAGTAAAAGTCAGCTGTGGTCCAAATGTAAATACTGACATATTAGAGAAGAAAATGTTGGTGATAAAGAATACAAAACAAAGCATAATAGTACTTGCCTTGATTTATTCCCAACCACCAACTCTGAGACCAAGATTTAACTGTTACATCAACATTGTCCACAGTGGAAAAGGGAGAATTTTAAAATCAAACACATCTGAGCTTGATTTGGGTCATTAGCTGTGTGTCCAGGATAAATTATACAACAACCTTGAAGTTTTAATATTTTTTTAGATGGATTCTCACTCTTGTCATCCAGGCTGGAGTGCAATGGTGCAATCTCAGCTCACTGCAACCTCCACCTCCCAGGTTCAAGCAATTCTCCTTCCTCAACCTCCCAAGTAGCTGGGATTACAGATGCCTGCCACCACGCCTGGCTAATTTTTGCATTTTTAGTAGAGACTAGGTTTCACCATGTTGGCCAGGCTGGTGGCGAACTCCTGACCTCAGATGATCTGCCCACCTCGGCCTCCCAAAGTGCTGGGATAATAGGTGTGAGCCACTGCACCCTGCCTTAATCTTTATTATTAATAGAATTAATATTTCTTCCAGGGCTGTTTTAATCATACATTGTAGCTATAAGTATTTTTCATTAAAAGTCTTGTCTAAATATGGTAAATATTTGTAAATAAGATTACCATTTAAAAATACTTTATTGTAATTGTATATGTTCTGTTATATTTAACGTTATATTTAATGCTAGTTTTTTATTTGTTGTGGGAAGTCAGGGACCCCAAACGGTGGGACCGGCTGAAGCCATGGCAAAAGAATGGGGACTGTGAAGATTTTATGGACATTTATTAGTTCCCCAAATTAATACTTTTATAATTTCCTATGCCTGTCTTTACTGCAATCTCTAAACACAAATTGTTAAGATTTCATGGACACTTATCACTTTCCCAGTCAATACCCTTGTGATTTCTTATGCCTGTCTTTACTTTAATCTCTTAATCCTGTCAGCTGAGGAGGACATATGTCACCTCAGGACCCTGTGATAACTGCGTTAACTGCACAGATTGTAGAGCCTGTGTGTTTGAACAATATGAAATCTGGACACCTTGAAAAAAGAACAGGATAACAGCAATTGTTCAGGGAATAAGAGAGATAACCTTAGACTCTGACCACTGGTGATCCAAGTGGAACAGAACCATATTTCTCTTCTTTCAAAAGCAAATGGGAGAAATATCACTGAATTATTTTTCTCAGCAAGGAACATCCCTGAGAAAGAGAATGCACCCCTGAGGGTGGGACTACAAATGGCCCCCTTGGGTGTAACCATCTTCTATGGTCAAAACTTTAGGGATGAAATAAACCCCAGTCTCCTGTAGAACTCTCAAGCTTATTAGGAAGAGGAAATTCCTGCCTAATAAATTTTGGTCAGACAGGTTGCTCTCAAACCCTGTCTCCTGATAAGATGTTGTCAATGACAATGGTGTCTGAAACTTCATTAGCAATTTTAATTTTGCCCTGGTCCTGTGGTCCTGTGATCTTGCCCTGCCTCCATTTGCCTTGTGATATTCTATTACCTTGTGAAGTATGTGATCTTTATGATCCACACCCTATTCGTACACTCCCTCCACTTTTGAAAGTCCCTAATAAAAACTTGCTGGTTTTGCGGCTTGGGGGGCATCACGGAACCTACTGACACGTGATGTCTCCCCTGGATGCCCAGCTTTAAAATTTCCCACTTTTGTACTCTCTCCCTTTATTTCTCAAACCAGTTGACACTTAGGGAAAATAGAAAAGAACCTACGTGACTATCGGGGCAGGTTCCATGATATTTATAGGCATAATAGACTAAAGGTTTCTGTATTTTGACTTTGGTAATTTTTACAAATGGTTTTTGCCTGGTACTGTTGAAGTTAGGCTTAATTTTGAACCAGTAGCTTTGTTGTTTACCTTATGTGGTTTTGGGTTCATTTGTTCTATAAGTATAATGCATATTCTTTTGGGGGTAATTTGGCTTTATTTCTGCTTTTTTATTTTTACATCTGGGACTGGAGAAATTGCTAGAATTTCAATAAGTTTGATTTGAAATCAGGCAACAGAACATCCCAGAAAAGACTGAAGGTTGTATGTACTGGATAATGCCTTTAGGTGAGGTTTATACATAAAACACAGTTCAGTAAAATTTATATAATCATTACAAGTTTGTTAAATTTGAGAACAAAATGCCAATGACATATTAGGCACTTGTCTTAGTTTCTCTTTGACATCCCTGTCTTGAGAAGCTGATATTACATGAAAGTATATTGCCTAATATAATATAATATGATGTGGAACAATTACTTATGTGCTGGAAACATTCCCCTTAATAACCCTTAAATACATTTTATTCTGGCTCAATTCTTTTTTTTTTTTTTTTAATTGACGGAGTTTCGCTCTTGTTGCCCAGGCTTGAGTGCAATGGCACGACCTCGGCTCACTGCAGCCTTCGCCTCTTGGGTTGAAACTATTCTCCTGCCTCAGCCTCCCAAGTAGCTGGGATTACAGTGCCTGCCACCATGCCCAGCTAATTTTTTGTATTTTTAGTAGATATGGGGATTCACTATATTGGCCAGGCTGTTCTCAAACTATTGATCTCAGGTGATCTGCCCACCTCGGCCTCCCAAAGTCCTGGGATTACAGGCATGAGACACCACACCCGGCTGGCTCAATTCTTTTGGCACAAGTATTTTTGATCCCAGAGGCTTCTTCCCACCAAATTTAAGCCATGATGTTTTCAAGTTTGTATTTTTAGTTTTATTTGCTTGTTTTGTTTTTTACTTTCTTGGAAATGGGAGTGTTGACTTACCTTTGTAAAATGAGATCAGCCTATTTGTAGTTTTACCCAGTAAGCTTCATAGTTGACATCATTATATTGAGTTTCCCCAGGCCACCCTGAGCTTCAGAGCTGACCATCCTACCTTATTCTTCTTGGTTTCTCAGGCTCTGATGTTAAGTCCCTCTCACTTCAAATTTGAGCTTTCATAATGCCTCAGCTCAAAAGAAGCAGAAGAAAGTGTTGCCATATTTATTTGGATGAGGATCAAGACTTTACATCCATCATTCATAGTACAAAGCAACACTTTTAATAATGTGGACATGTTTCACTCAAATTAAATATAAGCAGTTTTATCAACATGCCAATATAGTCAAAATAAATAACGATCAAGTTTACCAAAATGTTCTGCTTTAGATTTTCCCAGCACAAAGATCAATATGTATGCATTGGTGGATGTTAGGGTTTTTTTGGTGTAGGTTTTTGTGTGTTTTTTATTTTTATTTTTTACAGATTTTCATCCTACTTTACACTGATGTAAATTTAACTGCCCAAGGCTTACCAGAAGCTTTATTTTACATTATTTCTACCAAAAATTCATATTCTCAAATATTAAAAGTGGTATTCTGTATTACCATTTTTCAAGTAATGTAGTCTGCATTTATTAGTACCTTTCAATGTATTTTTTTTTTACATGGGGTAAGGTTATTAAAATGTCTTGCAGTTGATTTTCTAGGTAACAACGGAATCTGTTTTCTCAAACAGTAGCATGAGAATTCTTGATATACCACCTTCAGAGGTACTGAAAACAACCATATACTTTTGCTGAAATTTGGATTTTTTCATAACCTCTTCAGAGGCTGAGTCATGGCAACATATGACAGCTTAATTTATTCTTCTTCTCTAAATGTTGTGGAGCCACATCCACCTGTGTAAATAACACTAACTGGGTAAAAGCTTTTTTATACTAAGCCAGAAATCATTATACCTGGTGGTTTTATTTTAAATGTATGAACAGTATTCTATAACATTCAAATAAGTAATAGAAATTTAATTCTATATATATGGAAAGAAAAGTTATACAGGCACACTGAGAATAAATTGGAATCTGGAACTGAATGCTGATTAGCATGGCCTATAAAATCAAAACCAAGTTAATTACTTCTAAGATACAATGAGGGTACAGGCATTGGATGAGGATGCTCCCATTCCATATAGGAGAATTGGACAAAACAAAGGGGCTAAAGGCCCCATGCAAGTCCAGAATCCAGCAGGGTAGTCATTGCATTTTAAAGCTCCAAAATAATCTCCTTTGACTCCATGTCTCACATTCAGGTCACACTGGTGCAAGAAGTAGGCTCTCATGGTCTTGGGCAGCTCTGCCCCGTGCCTTTGCAGGGTACAGCCCCATTCCAAGCTGCTTTCATAGGCTGGCATTGAGTGTCTGCAGCTTTTCCAGATGTACAATGCAAGCTGTTGGTTGATCTACCATTCTGGGATCTGGAGAATAGTGGCTCTTTTCTCACAGCTCCACTAGTCAGTGCCTCAGTGGGGACTGTGTGTGAAGGCTCTGACCTCACATTTCTCTTCTGCACTGCCCTAACATGGAGTTCTCCATGAGGGCTCCACCTCTGCAGCAAACTTATGCCTGTATATCCAGGCTTTTCCTTACATCCTCTAAAATCTAGGTGGAGGTTCCCAAACCCCAATTCTTGACTTCTGTGCACTCACAGGCTCAACACCACATGGAAGCCAACGAAGCTTGGGGCTTGTACCTACAGAAGCAATGGTCTGAACTGTACCTTGGCCCCTTTTAGCCACAGATGTAGTGGCTGGGACACAGGGCACCAAGTACTGAGGCTTCACAAAGCAGCAAGGCCTGGACCCGGCACACAAAGCCATTTTTTCCTCTTAGACCTCCTGGTCTGTGATGGGAAAGGCTTCTGTGAAGGTCTCTGACATGCCCTGGAGACATGTTCCCCATTGTCTTGGTGATTAACATTAGGCTCCCTGTTGCTTATGCAAATTTTTGCAGCTGGCTTGAATTTTTCCCCAAATAATGGGTTTTTCTTTTCTATAGCATTATCAGGCTGCAAATTTTCCCAAACTTTTATGCTCTGCTTCCCTTTTAAATGTAAGTTTCAATTTCAGATCATCTAAGTTCAAAGTTCCACAGCTCTTTAGGGCAGGGGGAAAATGCTGCCAGTCTCTGCTTAAGCATAGCAAGAGTGACCTTTGCTCTAGTTCCCAATAGGTTTCTCATCTCCATCTCCAGATCCAAAGTCGCTTTTACATTGCTGGGTATCTCTATAGCAGTACCCAACTCTATCAGCATGAATTTACTGTAATAGTCCATTCTCACACTGCAATAAAAATCTTCCCAAGACTAGGTAACTTATAAAACAAAAAGGTTAAATTGACTCACAGTTCCTCATAGCTGGGGAGGCCTCAGGAAACTTACAATCATGGCAAAAGGCAAAGGAGAAGCAAACTGGACCTTCTTACATGGCAGCAGGAGAAAGAACATGTGTGTGTGTGCAGAAAAAACTACCATTTATAAAACCATCAGAATTCATGAGAATTCACTCAGTATCACAAGAACAGCATGGGGGAAACCACCCCCCATGATCCAGTCACTTCCCACCAGGTGTCTCCCTTAACACATGGGGATTACAATTCAAGATGAGATGTGGGCACACAAAGCCTAACCATATCTATCATAAAGACATAGTCCCAATTGCCTGATATCTCTGCTTCCTGACCCCTGTGTGAGACAGGCTATGTTTGTCCCAGAATGGCCTGTTTCTCTTGATTTGGGAGGGCAGTGTATTAAGCAACTTAAATCCTAGGCACAATTCACAATGCCAGCTCTCAATAAATTTGTTACTGTAATTTGTTTCCAGAAATGATATCAGAGCAGAAACACAAAGCAAAAGGAACCAAAAGATAGGTAATGCTGAATGGTTGGAAAGTATATTTATGAAAGAGCTATGCTTCGCAAAAGCATCTTTGCTATGATTCAAGGGAGAAATCATTAAACACCAACTCCATCATATCCACATAAATCCAGCAATCTAGAGACTGTTGGTCTTTTTTCTTTTCTGCATTATGTTTCTGCTCTCAGTAAAGCAAGGTTTTCATTATAATATTGAAGCATTGGAAATTTAATACCAAGATATTTTCAAAACTAAGTGTTTTTTTGTTTTGTTTTGTTTTTTTTTTTTGACAGAGTCTCTCTCTGTCACCCAGGCTAGAGTGCAGTGGCTTGATCTCGGCTTGCTGCAAGCTCTGCTTCCCAGGTTCATGCCATTCTCCTGCCTCAGCCTCCTGAGTAGCTGGGACTACAGGCGCCCGCCACCACAACTGGTTAATTTTTTTTTTTTTTTTTTTTGTATTTTTAGAAGAGACGGGATTTCACCATGTTAGCCAGGATGGTCTCAACCTCCTGGTCTCGTGATCTGCCTGCCTTGACCTCCCAAAGTGCGGGGATTACAGGCCTGAGCCACCACGCCCGGCCAAAACTAAGTTTTAATTATAATAGGAAAACTAATGCGAGGCCAGAAATTGTTGACTTTGTTCACAGAATACTAATTTTCCCCAGACAAAATATGCAGAGCTATGTTTCATTAATATGCAGAGCTATGTTTTATTACCAAAACACACTACTGCCAAATGCACAAAAGGAAAAAAGATATTTGTACCCTGTGCTAAAACAGATTCATTTGCGGTATTTAAATGACAAAACTGGAATTATTTCAACCCGGAAATCATTGTTTCAAATTTCCATGGTTAAAGGTTTGCTCAAGCAAATCTTAAAACACAGGTATGTATTTCAGAAGATCAACCAAATTCGAGTTTGCATCCCATTTTGGGTACATTGTAAATAGAAATTTCAAAATCTTCCTCAAAAATATCTGCATTTGTTTTCCAGATTCTTGCAACCCAAAACAAAACTTCACAGAAACTCTGCACAAGAGTTGGCAGACAGCTAAACCTTCTCCAAATTGAGTTATGGACAATAAGGTCTTGATTATAGCAGAATTGGAAGGTCTATTTACAAACCTGCACACAGTGCTGTGTAAATTGGGTGCTGGGGCACATTGATTGGCAGGGAAAGGCCAGGGAGGCAGTTGAATCCCTGGCATTTTTCAAAGCTTTTTTCCTAGGTTCATTATTCCTAGAATTTTGAAGCTTATTAAGACATTCCCTATCCTATGTCATACTCTAGAGCACTCTAGTCAGAATCCTGATAGAATACACTCTTTTTTTTTGTTTTTTAAAGTGTACATTTCAGTGATTTTTAATAATTTTTTTTATACTTTAAGTTCTAGGGTACATGTGCACAACGTGAAGGTTTGTTACATATGTATACATGGGCCATGTTTGTGTGCTGCACCCATTAACTACTCATTTACATTAGGTATATCTCCTATTGCTATCCCTCCCTTCTTCCCCCACCCCACAACAGGGCCTGGTGTGTGATATTCCCCTTCCTGTGTCCAAGTGTTCCCATTGTTCAATTCTCACCTATGAGTGAGGACATACAGTGTTTGGTTTTTTGTTCTTACGATAGTTTGCTGAGAATGATGGTTTCCAGCTTCATTTGTGTCCCTACAAAGGACATGAACTCATCCTTTTTCATGGCTGCATAGCATTCCATGGTGTATATGTGCCACATTTTCTTAATCCAGTCTATCATTGATGGACATTTTTTGTTGGTTCCAAGTCTTTGCTATTGTGAATAGTGCCGCAGTAAACATATGGGTGCATGTGCCTTTATAGCAGCATGATTTGTAATCCTTTCGGTATATACCCAGTAATGGGATGGCTGGGTCAAATGGTATTTCTAGTTCTAGGTCCTTGAGGAATCACCACACTGACTTCCACAATGGTTGAACTAGTTTACAGTCCCACCAACAGTGTAAGTGTTCCTATTTCTCCACATCCTCTCCAGCACCTGTTTTTTCCTGACTTTTTAATGATCGCCATTCTAACTGGTGTGAGATGGTATCTCATTGTGATTTAGATTTGCATTTCTCTGATGACCAGTGATGATGAGCATTTTTTCATGGTCTGTTGGCTGCATAAATTTCTTCTTTTGAAAAGTGTCTGTTCATATCCTTCACCCACTTTGTGATGGGATTGTTTGTTTTTTTCTTGTAAATTTGTTTGAGTCCTTTGTAGATTCTGGATATTAGCCCTTTATCAGATGAGTAGATTGCAAAAATCTTCTCCCATTCTGTAGGTTGCCTGTTCCTTCTGATGGTAGTTTCTTTTGCTGTGCAGATGCTCTTTAGTTAATTAGATCCCATTTGTCAGTTTTGGCTTTTGTTGCCATTGCTTTTGGTATTTTAGACATGAAATCCTTGCCCATGCCTATGTCCTCAATGGCATTGCCTAGGTTTTCTTCTAGGGTCTTTATGGTTTTAGATCTAACATTTAAGTCTTTGATCCATCTTGAGTTAATTTTTGTATAAGGTGTAAGAAAGGGATCCAGTTTCAGCTTTCTACCTATGGCTAGCCAGTTTTCCCAGCACCATTTATTAAATAGGGAATCCTTTCCCCATTTCTTGTTGTTGTCAGGTTTGTCAAAGATCAGATGGTTGCAGATGTGTGGTATTATTTCTGAGGGCTCTGTTCTGTTCCATTGGTCTATATCTCTGTTTTGGTACCAGTACCATGCTCTTTTGGTTACTGTAGCCTTCTAGTATAGTTTGAAGTCAGGTAGCGTGATGCCTCCAGCTTTGTTCTTTTGGCTTAGGATTGACTTGGTGATGCAGGCTCTTTTTTTGGTTCCATATGAACTTTAAAGTAGTTTTTTCCAATTCTGTGAAGAAAGTCATTGGTAGCTTGATGGGGATGGTATTGAATCTATAAATTCCCTTGGGCAGTACGGCCATTTTCACGATATTGATTCTTCCTACCCATGAGCATGGAATGTTCTTCCTTTTCTTTGTATCCTCTTTTATTTCCTTGAGCAGTGGTTTGTAGTTCTCCTTGAAGAGGTCCTTCACATCCCTTGTAAGTTGGATTCCTATTTATTTTATTCTCTTTGAAGCAATTGTGAATGGGAGTTCACTCATGATTTGGTTCTCTGTTTGTCTGTTATTGGTGTATAAGAATGCTTGTGATTTTTACATATTGATTTTGTATCCTGAGACTTTGCTGAAGTTGCTTATCAGCTTAAGAAGATTTTGGGCTGAGACGATGGGGTTTTCTAAATATATAATTCATGTCATCTTCAAACAGGGACAATTCGACTTCCTCTTTTCCTAACTGAATAATCTTTATTTCTTTCTCCTGCCTGATTTCCCTGGCCAGAACTTCCAACACTATGTTGAATAGGAGTGGTGAGAGAGGACATCCCTGTCTTGTGCCAGATTTCAAAGGGAATGCTTCCAGTTTTTGCCCATTCAGTATGATACTGGCTGTGGGTTTGTCATAGATAGGTCTTATTATTTTGAGATACGTCCCATCAATAACTAATTTATTGAGAGTTTTTAGCATGAAGCGTTGTTGAATTTTGTCAAAGTCCTTTTCTGCATCTATTGAGATAATCATGTGGTTTTTGTCATTGATTCTGTTTATATGCTGGATTACATTTATTGATTTGCTTATGTTGAACCAGGCTTGCATGCCAGGGATGAAGCCCACTTGATCATGGTGGATAAGTTTTTTGAGGTTCTGCTGGATTTGGTTTGCCAGTATTGTATTGAGTATTTTCGCATCGATGTTCATCAGCGATATTGGTATAAAATTCTCTTTTTTTGTTGTGTCTCTGCCCGGCTTTGGTATCAGGATGATGCTGGCCTCATAAAATGAGTTAGGGAGGATTCCATCTTTTTCTATTGATTGGAATAGTTTCAGAAGGAATGGTACCAGCTCCTCTTTGTACCTCTGGTAGAATTCAGCTGTGAATCCGTCTGATCCTGGACTTTTTAGTTTATGTCCAATCAAAAGTTTATAACCAGAATATATGAAGATTTGTAGGAAATTTTTATATATTCTGGATATAAATTTTTGATTGGACCTAAACATTGCAGATATATTCTCCCAATTTAACTTGTCTTTTCTTTCTCTTAATGGTGACTTCGTTAAAACCAATTTCTTAATTTTAATGTAGTTCAATTTATCAGAATTTTTCTGTGTAGTTAATGCTTATTTAATCTTGCTTAAGAAATTTCTGTCTACCCCATTGTCATAAAGGTATTCTTCTGTGTTACAGAAGCTTTTTTTTTAATTTTTAACCTTTCAGATTGAGCTTTATAACCCACTTACGATTGATTTTTGTTTGTGATGCAAGACAGGGGTTAAAGTCTTTTATTCCCCCATATTGATATCCAAATTATCTACCACCATTTATTGAGAAGATTATTATTTCCTCACTGCACTGCAGTTTCACCTTTGTCATAAGTCAGGTGATGGTATAAGTATGAGTTTGTTTTTGGTTTCTCTATTTGTATGTCCTGCTAATACCATCTTATTTTAATTGTAATAAAGTTGGAGACATCTGATGGTATACATTCTTGAGATCTGTTCTTCTTCAGAACTTTCTTGGTTCTTCTTGTCCTTTTAAATTTTCAAAAAAATTTTAAATTAGCTTGTCAATTTTTAAATTACCTGATAGGATTTTGAGTAGGATTGCATTCAACCATAATTTAATGAGTAGAAATGACTTTTTTACAATATAAAATCTTTCTATTCATAAACATTGTGTGTCTTTTTTATGTATACAATATTTATATCTGTTTTAAAAATTGTACTTTAAGTTCTGGGATACATGTGCAGTATGTACAGGTTTGTTACATAGGTATATATGTGCTGTGGTGGTTTGCTCCATCTATCAACCTGTAATCTTAGTTTTAAGCCCCATATGCATGAGGTATTTGTCCTAATGCTCTCCCTCCTCTTCCCCTCCAACCCCTGACAGGCCTCTGTGTGTGATGTTCCCCTCCGTGTGTCCATGTGTTCTCATTGTTCAACTCCCATTTATGAGTGAGAACATGCACTGTTTGGTTTTCTGTTCCTGTGTTAGTTTGCTGAGAATGGTCGCTTCCAGTTTCATCCATGTCCCTGCAAAGAACATGAACTCATGATTTTTTATGGCTGCATAACATTCCATGGTGTACTCTAATTTGTACGTGTACAAATTAGAACTCAGGATTAAGAAACTTACTCAAAACCACACAATTACATGGAAATTGAACAACCTGCCTCTGAATGACTACTGGGTAAATAATGAAATTAAGGCAGAAATAACAAAGTTGTTTGAAACCAGTGAGAACAAAGAGACAACGTACCAGAATCTCTGAGACACAGCTGAAGTAGTGTTAAGAGGGAAAGTTATAGCACTAAATGCCCACAACAGAAAGCTGGAAAGTTCTAAAATCAACCCCTTAATATCACAATTAAAAAACCTAGAGAAGAGTAAACAAATTCAGAAGCTACCAGAAGACAAGAAATAACTATGATCAGAGTAGAACTGAAAGAGATAGAGACACGAAAAACCCTTCAAAATATCAGTGAATCCAGGAGATTAACAAAATAAATGGACCACTAGCTAGACTAACAGAGAAAAAAGAGAAGAATCAATTAGACATAATAAAAAATGATAAAGGGGGCTGGGTGCGATGGCTCATGCTTGTAACCCCAGCACTTTGGGAGGCCGAGGCAGGTGGATCACAAAGTCAGGAGTTCGAGACCAGCCTGGCCAATATGGTGAAACCCCATCTCTACTAAAAATACAAAAATTTGCTGGGTGTGGTGGTGTGTGCCTGTAGACCCAGCTACTAGGGAGGCTGAGGCAGAAGAATTGCTTGAACCCCGGAGGTGGAGGTTGCAGTGAGCTAACACCACTGCACTCCAGCTTGGGTGACAGAGTGAGACTCCATCTCAAAAAAAAAATGATGAAGGAGGTATCACTATTGATCCCACAGAAATATAAATTACCCTCAGAGAATACTATAAACACCTCTCTGCAAATAAACCTGAAAATCTAGAAAATACAGATACATTCCTGGCACATACACCCTCCCACAACAAAATCAGGAAGAAGTAGAATCCCCGAATAGGCCCATAACAAGTTCTGAAATTGAGGCAGTAATGAATAGCCTACCAACCAAAAAAAGCCCGGGACCAGATGGATTCATAGCTGAATTATACTGGAGATATAAAGAGGAGCGGGTACGATTCCTTCTGAAACTATTCCAAACAATGGTAAAAGGGGGACTCCTCCCTAACTCATTTTATGAGGGCAGCATCATCCTGATACCAAAACCTGACAGACACAACAAATAAAGAAAATTTCAGGCCAATAGCCCTTATAAACATTGATGTGAAAATCCTCAATAAAAGACTGGCAAAATGAATCCAGCAGCACATACAAAAGCTTATCCACCATGTGCAACACTTTTTTTAAAGGCATGCTTCAAAAAGAAACACTCCTATTTAGTCAGGAGACTATCTCTTTGAATCTAACATAGATTACAACCTTGACATGAATAAGATTCTTCTTTTATGTACTCAATAAATGTTTACTTACAGCCTATTTTATGCTGGGTAGTATTATGGGAACTGGAGAGAGAAGGTCTGTCTTTATGGAGATTGCAGTATAGTGACAGAGATAGAACATAAATGCATAAACAGTTGCACACTAAAGTGATGGATGTACTAAGCGCTATGAAGAAATATATTAGCCAAGTGCTGTGGTGCTCACCTATAGTCCCAGCTACTAGGGAGGCTGAGACAGGCGGTCTGTTTGAGCCCCAGAGTTTGAGGCTGCAGTGATCCATGATTGTGCCACTGCACCCCAGCCTTGGTGACAGAGTGAGACCGTGTCTAAATAAAAAGTATAATAATACAAAGAAAATAAGGTAGGGTAATCACATTCAGGGTGTCAGGGACTGCTACTTTAGATAGAGAGCTCTTGAACAATCTTTCTGAGGAGATGACCCTTGAGCAGGTCAGAATGGTATGACGGAGTGAGTTAAGCGAATGTCTAGAGGGCAGAGAGAAGAGACATTGTGCAGAGTCTGGATACAGACAGCGCTTGATGAGCTCAAAGATCACTACAAAGACCAGTCAGGCTGCAGGCACTGGGAGGAGGAAAGGAGAATGCACACTCTGAGGAGCAGACAAATACAGAACATAGTAAAGAGCTTGGATTTCTTTGTTAATTGTGATAGATAACCACTGGAGGATTCAGAGCTGGGAATGAAATGGTATAAGATATGTTCTTACAGGAATTGTCCAGCTTTGTGGGAGAATAGATTACAGATTACCATAAATAGAATAATAATAAATACAAAGGCAGCTTAGAAATGATTATATCTGTCCAGGGGTTGATACTGGTGGTGTTAGAACTGTGAGGTCCAGTATGATAGCCACCAGCTGCATTTAGTTTTTTACATTTAAATTAATTAAAATACCATAAAATTTATTCCTACCAGGGACTTGGGAGGAAAGGGAGAATGAGGAGTTATTGCTTAATGAGTACAGAGTTTCAGTTTGGGGTGAAAAAAAATTTTGGAAATACATAGTTTTGATGATTGCACAACATTCTGAATGTAATTAATGCCTCCGAATTTTATGTTTAAAACGGCAAAGCTTATTACATAGGCTTTACCACAATAAAACATTATAAAATTAATCACAGAACCAAAACTCTAAAACCATTTTTTAAAATTGTATAAATTTAAGGAGTGCAAGTGCAATTTTGTTACATGGGTATATGGGGTAGGAGTGAAGTCTGAGCTTTTAGTGTGTTTATCACTGGAACAATGTACACTGTATCCACTAAGTAATTTCTCATCAACCTTCCCCCTCCCACCCCTCACCCTTCTGAGTCTACAGTGTCTTATCATTTTACACTCTTTGTTCATGTTTACGCATTATTTATTTCCCATTTTTAAGTAAGAACATGCAGTATTTGATTTTATGTTTCTGAATTGGAAAACTATAAAACTCTTAGAATAAAAGATAACAATAAATCTTTATGGCCTGGGATTTGGCAATAGTTTCTTAGATATGGCACCAAAAGCACAGTGATAAAAGAAAATGTACTGAGCTTCATCAAAATTAGAAACATTTGTGTTTCAAAGAACGTAACAAAGAAAATAAAAAGACAACCAGAAAAGTGGAGAAAATGTTTGCAACTTATATATTTGATTAGAAATCTGTATCCAAAATGCACAAATAACTTTTACAACTCAACAGTAAAAAGAAAAAATACATAAAAATAGGCAAAATATTTAAATAGACACTTTTGTGAAGAAGATAAAAGAGTGTTCAATAAGTGCATGAAGAAAAGCTTAACATCACAAGCCATCAAGAAAATGCAAAATCAAACCACAAGCAGACATCACTTAACACCAACTAGTGTACCTACAATAAAAACTGACAAATGGTTGGGTGCGGTGGCTTACTCCTGTAATCCCAGCACTTTGGGAGACTGAGGTGGGCGGATCATGAGGTCAGGAGATCCAGACCATCCTGGCTAACATGGTGAAACCCCGTCTCTACTAAAAAATACAAAAAATTAGCCGGGCGTGGTGGCGGGCGACTGTAGTCCCAGCTACTCGGTAGGCTGAGGCAGGAGGATGGCGTGAACCCATGAGGCGGAGCTTGCAGAGAGCTGAGAGTGCACCACTGCACTCCAGCCTGGTGAGGACTTAGAGAAATTAGATCTTTCATACATTGCCGGTGGGACAGTAAAATAGTGCACACTTTGGAAAACTGTGAGGTGATTGCTGAAAAGGTTATGCATAGGTACCTTACGACCCAGCAATTCCATTCCTAGGTACATACCCAATAGAAATGAAAACTTATGAATGAAATATACAAAAGTTTGTACCTAAATATTATAGCGGCATTATCATAATTCTGAATAATACCTACTAAATCGAATGGATATTAAAAGTAATATTGATGAAATAAAGTTAGAAATATAAAATTTTTACCAGCGATTGATTGAGCTGATTCAAATTACTTCTTACCATCTTCAATTCCATATCTTGTATATTCGGAGAGCGAGTTCAAGTTGCTTCACTTCTAACTTTTTCTTTTGCAGCTCTTCGAATTTTCCTAATTCTTTCCTATTTTTTCTTTTAATATATTGGCATTTCTTCTCTTATTCTTGTTTTAAAGTCAATCTGCCATTAAATATACTTATCTTAAAATTCATTTTGTTAGAAAATAGAATTCACTTTGAGATCTACTTCTTCCTATATCGGTTTATTATTCCAATGAAATTCTTATATTCTTGAATACGTTTTTCCTTTCTAGTTCTGAGGTATTTTATTACTGAACTCTCTTCCAAATGACACACATGCTTGAACAATAGTGAGAAAAGAATATCTTCTAGTTAGAAAGATTCTGTTACTAGTAACTTCAACAACTGTTATGGAAAAGAATACTGGAAGCTATCCAGTAAAGTTATAAGTTGAAAATTATTATTTTAAAAATATAACAGTCAAAATTACTCCTCAATGAGGACAGATCATTTAGAGTTAACTAATTAAAATGACGTTACTTTTTATAAACAAGTTTACATATTTATTAGACATAAATATTCATCTTCATAAAATAAGGCAAGTATCCTTAAAAATAATTATAATATTAAAATCTGAGACTAGGCTAGAGAATCTAATATCTGTTATCCCATATATCTTTTGTTTCTTTTTTTAGTAATACTTTAAATGTATCTGTTGATTATTATATATTTTATCAACAAATTTTAAATCTCTTTTAGAATAAGACAGAATATAATATTTAATTTAAAATAAAAATAATAAGTATTTTTAACATAGAACTCGGAATTAATTTTATTTATTTAGGAGAGAGAGAGATGTTGAATATACTAGTCATAAATTACTCTGTATTTTTCTTTATACTCCATGCATATTAAGATTAAAAGTGTATAATTAAAGGAAAATGATTATTGGGGGTAGAGGAATGGCCGTTTCACACTCCCTTTGTTGAACTATAAATGAATATAAATTTTCTTGGGAACAATTTAGAAGTAATGAACAAAGAACTTCTTAAAAACTTCCTATAATTTAACCAAATATTTTTATATTGAAGAATTTATTCCAAGTCAATAATTAGAATGGTACAAAAGGATTTACATGCAGTTATGCCTTGCAACACTTATTATAACACAAAAAAATTAAAAATAAAAAATTAATTTGTTAAGTAAATAATGGGGTTTCCGAATAATGGCCTTCTATGTAGCCATTAAAATTGTGATTTAAATAAATAAGTATTTAATTATCAGGAGATGTATTCACAGTTAAGAACTTGTATTATTTAAATGAATTTGACACTCTACAAGACAGAGATTTCTTTCTCCAGTTAAACCTCAGAAGGTAAGTCAGCTAGTACAAAAAGTATCCTATATACTAGTATATCATACCTCAGACTGCAGAGCTCTTGTTCTCTTTTAACTTTTTGATTCTCTATGATTTTATTTCTTTTGGTTCTGATAGTTCATTTTGTAGTACACGAAGCTTATTTTTCATTTGTTTCATTTTTGCTGTAAGTTGTTCACAGGGATTTTTTTTCTTTTTTATCTTTTTTTTTTTTTTTTTTTTTTGACGGAGTCTCTCTCTGTTGCCTAGGCTGGAGTGCAGTGGTGGGTTCTCCACTCACTGCAAGCTCCACCTCCTGGGTTCACGCCATTCTCCTGCCTCAGCCTCCTGAGTAGCTGGGACTACAGGCACCCGCCACCATGCCCGGCTAATATTTTTTTTTTTTGTATTTTTAGTAGAGACGGGGTTTCACTGTGTTAGCAAGGATGGTCTTGATCTCCTGACCTCATGATCTGCCCGCCTTGGCCTCCCAAAGTGATGGGATTACAGGCATGAGCCACAGCACCTGGCTCACAGGGATATTTTTTAAGTTCCCTTGCTCTTTCACAAGAAAGAACTGCATCCAAGATTTTTGATAGGCTAGTTGAATCTGTCTCAAGGAGGAGATAGAAATAAAATGTATTAGTACTTTTGGGATAAAAAGAACTGCATATTTTAAAAATCACTAATTCATACACTGAACAAATATATATTGATTGCCTACCAGGTAGAAGGCATTATACTAAGCTCTGCAGATTAAACAGATAAAAGCAAAACCTCTGCCTGTGTTTAACTTAAAATGTGCTAAAAGACAAAGCTCCAGAAAAGTGACAGTTATAAATTCAGATAGATACTGTAAGAAAACAGATTGCTAAGAATTAGATCTATACTAGGCTCACGGAAAATTCCCCCGAGGGATGTATAGCTACACTGAGGAATGAAGAATGAAAAGGAAGCAGTTGAGCAAACAAGGAAGGAAAGCACTTTAGCCAGTCTGTGGCATGTGCTGAAACTCTAGTGTAGTCTGCCTCTAGCCAAGGGAGAGCAACAGGTATGATTTTTCTTCTTAGCTAAAATAACTAAAATCAAAACACACAAAATACATTAAACAATTTTTTAGACACTGTACATTAGGCAAAGAAGATAATAATCCCTGAAAAACAGAAAAAAAAACACGAAAGAAAGCAAACCTTATGAATGTTTCAGCTTCCTGCCTTGACAGAGATTCCGAGACATGACACAGGAAGAAAAAACTGAGGTGGGATCTACCAGACTCTCCTGGTTACATTGATGAAGCTTAGAGTCTGGTAAAACCAAAGCAGACAGATATTACAGAACAAACACTGAGGAGGAGAGAGAGATACAGAATCAACGGCAAGAAACCCCCTGTCAGTAGTTAGCAAAATTTTGAAAATTGCATGTGAGCTAGGAAACTACCTAAGAACAAACCGGGTGGGGGTGGGGGGTGGCTTATAAAATTAGAGGAAGTCACACCTGGTGCCCACACAGTGCCAAGAAGAGCATCTATTTTTATAGATTTGACTGGGAAAACTCAGACTTCACAGGAAAATGAATACTCAGAAAGGCCTTGCCTCGGGTATGGGGAGTTAGCTCATACCATAAAAAGAAAAATGAAAAGGATCAAGCTGTTTATAAGTAACTCAACTCTATTCTACTATAAAAATCAAGAAGATAAGTTAAGCAATAGAAGATACTTTTTAAAACCAAATTGCACTTGTAGAGATACAAGTTACAATGCTGGAGATGAAAGCTGCACTGAGTAGATATGAGCACAGATTAATTCACCATCATGAAATAAGAGATTCACAAATTTGAGACATTAGTGAACTATGAGCAAAGTTCCAGCAGGTAATATATAAGTCCCCAAATAGGTAGGAGGAGAGGCAGAATAAAAAATTTGAGGAAAAATTGGCTAAATACGTTTTAAACTTAACAAAAGCCATAATCCCACACATCTAGGCTGGGATCTGGCTGACAGAAAAGAAATGAAAATATGATTGTAATTTCTTATACCATCTATGATATGATATAATATTACTTGAAGGTGGATTGTGATGAGGTAAATTCATACAGTATAAATCCTAAAGCAACTACTAAGACAACAAAGAGTTATACCTAATACCAAATAAACTTATACCAAAAAAGATATGACTAAATCATAAAGAAATGTAAAACTAGATTAATAACTAAAAAAGTTATGCATATACAGATATGTAACTAAATCATAAAAATTACTAAACTAGTCTGAAGGAAGCAGAAAAAGAAAAAAAGCAAAGCAAAGAAGATCTGGGACTAATAGAAATCAAACAGTGTGATGACAGACAACTCTAATCATATCAATAATTACATTATAAATTAAACTGGCCTAAAAACCTCTGCTCAAAGGTAGATTGTCAGAATGGATAAAAAAGCAAGTCTTACTTGTATAATGTGTATAAGAAATAAACTTTAAATATAAAGACAAAAATTGGTTAAAAGATGAAACAAGATATACCACACTAACACTTGAAAAAAGAAGGCTGAGGAAGAGTGGTTGTATTAACACCAAAGTACATTTCATAGCAAAAATATTACCAGCAATAAACAAGGTCATTTTATAGTGACAAAGGGTTCAATTAATCAAGAAAACATAACTGTCCTAAATATTTATGTAATAATAACACAAATGCTTCAAAATACATGATACAAAAATTGACAGAACTGCAAGAGAAATAGACAAATTCCCAAGTATAGTCTAAAATCTCTAAACCCCTTGCTCAAGTGGTATAATAAGGAGGAAGAAAATTCTGGAAAAATGTTGGTATGTGTACTCACCAGTCTAGACATTTTCCCACTCCCTGTGTATGTATGCTGCTTTAGTTACAAAAAGTTAGGTAGGATCTTGGGAGATTTCTTCTTGGATACCAGAAATATCAATCACATCAAAAGTATACCTAACAACTCTAAAATAATTCTTTTGAACAGATTACCACTGAAGAACTTGTAAGTTAAATCCAGTAGACTTTTGAGTAATTTTACTGCTTGAAATTCTCACATTTAAAAGAAATTGGTAACATCACTTTCTCAGACTCCTCTCCTACATTTCTTTAACCACTGCTCAGCCTCCTTTACCAAGTCCTTTGACTCTTGTAAAATGTTGATATTCCCAGGGTTTTCTCAATGGCTTTCTTTTTATTCTACATCTTCTGCCTCATGGATAAGCTCATTGAGATCTATGGCTATGCCTAATAATTATAATAAAAGTATTCTAAGCCTGCATTTTCAACCAGAGTTCTATCTCCAGCTAGAAATGCATATAATCCAATTGCCTACTGAATGTATCCCCCATGAATGTTTCATTGAACTCAACATGTGAAGAAAACTATTGGTCTGTCCCATGACTGTTTGCACTTCTCTGTTAACCTGACAAATTCCTACTCCTTCCCCATGAGCATTGTAAATCCTTGTGCACAATCTGAAAACTTATGAGTGACCTGAGATTTTATCTATCCCCTAGCTTTTTAAACTCAATTATCACTAAGCCATATTAACTGCACCTCTTTTCTGCCTTTGCTTTATCTTTCCAGTGCCACTGGAAATACGTACTTATTTATTTTATATTTATATTTCCTAGTTAAACGTGGCCCCTTAACTGATGGATTTCACAGGGAAAAAGAAACCCTACAAATTACTGTTCTTATTTTTTAAGTTAAAAAAATTAATCAAAATAAAATAATGCCAAAGAAGGACCTACATGTTTAAATGTGTAAATTGAGCTTCTGAACTTGATTCATTTTACCCTTGACGGATCAAACTTTCATAATAGATTGATACTAGGCCACAGATTGGTTACAAAAAAAAAAAAAAACTATCACATGAACTACTACAAAAGCTTCATCTTTAAATCTTTTTATGTGATTATCCTCCATCTATCTTCTATATGAAGGGCCAGAAACTATAGGCCACAGGCCAAATTCAGCTTACTAAATGTTTTTTATACAGACTTTTATTGGAGTACGATCATGCCTCTTTGCCCATCCATTATCTATGACTCCTTTCACCCTACAATGGCAGAGTTGAATAGCTGTAATAGAGACCACATGGCCCAACATATTCGCTATCTGGCACTTTACAGGAAAAGTTTGCCAATCTCTTCTTTATACCGTGACCAGAATGCCCTGATACTCAAATCTAATCTTGTGACTCCCCTACTCAAACTTTTCCACTGAGTTCCTGCAGAAAACTTTACTGGCTTCCTATGCATAGTCATTACTTATTCTTTATTGCTGCAGAAACACAAGTTCATTTAGATATTTATTATTCCATTACCCCTATCCAATCTTAAAAGAAAAATCATTATTCTAAGCTAATCTCAGTAATTACATTTGGTTTCCTAGTGATTGCTATAGAAATAAGCATGTAGTATAATCCAGCAAATAAAATGTTACAGGAAGATTACTGCAAGCTTCCAAGTTTTCTTCCTATTTAAAAAAAAAATGTGAACAAAAGCAACCCTCCCAGCCTTCATATATTGTCTTTAGTTAGCATGATGATTGGAGCTGTTGCTAATTAGCCAACCAAGAAAGGAGACATGAACAAAACGCTGCTGATAGCACAACTAATAATGGGGGGAGAGAGTGAGATCCTATAATATCCCTTTACCACCAAAACAACTTTGGTTTCTATGGTTTTAGCAATTGTTAGTTAGTTCATCTAATATTTACAGCCAGAAGTATTCTGGGAATTTTTCCAGGGCCTACAGAATAAGATCTACTCATTTCTACACTATTAAAATGTGTTGCCTAAGCTTGCCTTATCTAGACATTCAAGCCATTCCCGACTACTCCCATACCACACTATTTCCACTAGGGAACCCAAAGTGCCAATAAACTCTACAAAGTTCACTCAAGCATCTTACCATTTGTACTTGCTTTTGTAGCTGTTTTTTTGTAGGACATGTGATCATCTTAGATGTTCCTTCTTCCAAAACTTCAATTTTATTAGATGTTACTCCTGCCACGCATTCAGTCTTTACAGATGTTTCTTCTTCCTCACATGTGGTCTTTGTAGGTCTTTCTTGTGGCCATGCAAATTTCTCAGATTTTTTTTCACAGGTCTTGTAATTTTCCTAGGTGTTTCTCCTGCTGACTGTTCAATCTTTCCAGATATTGTTTTCCCCAAGCATTGAACTTCGTCAGATGTTCCCTCCTCCAAGGGTGCAGCTTCGTGTTGGAAATAACTTTTTGGTGCCACAAAGAAGAGTTAGCACTCCAGTAACAAGTTAACACTCCAGCAAGGCAAATTTACTTCTATAGAAGGGTGAGTCTTGAGGATGGAGCAATGGCAAGAGCACACTGGATAAGGGAAGGGAAAGGGTTCTTATTCCTAATGCAGATAGTCCCTACTGCTGTATCTTTCCCCTATTGGCTAGAGTTGGACCGCACACTATAAGCTAATTTTGACCGGCTACTTCAAAGAGGACGGGGTGCAAGCCAGAGTGGCAGGGTGGGTAGTTTCCTCAGGAAGGATGGTTACAGAGCAGGTGACTAAAGATGACTAAGGACAGAGCAAGTGACTAAGAATGACTAAGGACAGAGTAGGTGATAGGGACTAGGAGGAGGTCGTTTACTGAAACTAGGGGCAAGGAGGCATAAAGAATGAGGAAGTTAAACTTTAAAATGGAGAACAAAGAACAGAGAAGCTGAACATATTGACTTATTGGCTCTTTGAAGAGGAACTGAGAACTCACTGTACTTAACAATCTTCCCTCTCTTGAATTTTAAAGGACGTTAACAGGTTAAAACCTTTGAAGAGTAATTCACTGTATTCTACAATTGCCTCTTTCAATTTTTGTAGCCCTTCCTCTTCAAACCTTTTTAACATGTCTTGGCTTTTTTTTTTTCAACTTGATCCTCTAAAAGGAAAAGCCTATCTGAATAAGGTGGCGGACAGCTAAGGGAGGTTTTAGAAAGTGTTGTTTCTATAAGCCTTTGCACTAGCCCATGGATGCATGGTATGACACAACACCCAACAAGAATGAGTACACCCGTTACTGCTGTAAGAGAAGTAAGAATTGGGACTATGATTTCTTTCCATTTACTGAACCACCTTTCTAGCCATCTTGAGAAAGGGTTATTGACTCCAGAATTTTTAGCTAATTCATTGGATAAAGTAGTAAATCCTTGTAGGGCCCTTGTTATGCTCCCATTGGGGGCAGTGTTGTTTGCCCCCAATGGATAAAGGTACAACACTGAGTTTTAATCGTAACACAAACACCACTTTTTCAGCTAATATCGTATCTAGGGCCATTCTGTTTTCCCAGGCCATCTGGCTAGTGGGCCTCAATTGTTCTGCTATTCCCTTGACAACATCCCTGCTGTAATTAACAAACCACTGTTGATTATTATAGATGTAATTTATCCAATCTACGTTTTTATTGTCACCCACCAAAATATCGATTCAAATCCGGTAGCTATTTGATCTTGGGCTTAAATGTATCTGGTACTCCTCATGGGATTCCAATAGCATCTAAATAAACGTGGGAGTCAAAAGACACATAAAGGACTTCCCTTGCTTTACGATGTTGTGGTTTCCCTTTTTCTGGTTGATGAAATGCCAGAGTGAAAAGTATAGCCAACTAGACTAGAGCAAGAGCGCTGCTCCAGTTACTTGGCAGAGTGTCCTGTAAAGGTCCACCACAATAGCACCATAAATCTGCTCAGGGGTGTATAAGGGCTGACTGATTGGTAAGCTCTTGGAAAGTCTTAAGCTTACTGCATCCTTTTAGGTCTCCAAGCAAAGCTAAGTTTCCTCCTTGTTGTGAGAGACATGAAGTGAACTTAGTGTCGGGAGACGGAAGCTGGTTGGCCCTTGGGGGCTGACCTGCAGGGTGTTGAACTTTGGGATATAGCAGAGAGAGAGATTGACATGACTTGTTATCCCAGGCTGTGGAACCCTGGAAAAGAGCTACCATACAGCCCATGCCTGGTCGACTGAAGGACCATCCTAGTGGAAAGGGGACAATCTGGGCCTCTGGTCTGCCGTGTGCACAAGCATAACAATTGCTTTTGTTTAAAGTGTGAATGGAGTATTTGATCCATTCCAACCAGGCATTCGCATCTTGATATCCTGTCTCAGTTGCCAAAGTTTGTTTTAACTTCTACAATAGCTACCTTGGTCTTGTCATTAGATGGAGGAGGAACAACAGTTTCATTGTGAGAGTTTTTGGAAGAAGACTTAGGGGAAGCTGTAGACAGTAGGGGAGCAATGAAGCATATTTCAAAGATCCAATAGGGTCTATTTCTGAAAACTCAGCCCCCATATCATAAAACCAGCTTAAAGAAGGGAAGTGACTTAGAGAAGGGGAAGAACTTTGAGAGTTTGAAATAATAAGCTGTATTGAGTTACACTAGTTTACCTGAAAGTTAGGGGGAGCTATATCTTTAGTAAAATGAATGTATGGTTTTAGGAATTACAACTACTGGTTGGGGCAGTCCATCCTTGCTCTCACTTGCACATAGTTGGACCAACTACGTCATAAAAGCTTTGTGTAAAGGGGGCAAGACTCCCAGTTGACACTGGGGTCTTCATTGAAACTTTCCCAGACTAAATGATCCAAATTCACTAATGTCCAGTCTGAGGACAGCCGGGAAGTACAGAGGTACTTTTCTGAAGTGGAGAGCTGTCTTTGGCCTGACAAGGCTCCACAAGGTATAACAAGGCAAGCATCAAATGTAATAGTTTCAGGCAAAATGGGTTCCATTGTCTAAGTCAATGTTTTCTATTAGCCTAAACCTGGGCACTATATTTTCAATTAAGGCCTTAACTACATTATTGGCCATCACATTTGAAAAGGGAATAGCTTTGACCCAGTGAGTAAGGTGATCTACTGTCACTAGTAAATATTTTAGACGACCTATTGAAGGCATCTCTGTGTAATCAATCTGGATACTTTAAGTCTGGACTCCTTCTACCAAGGGGTAATCTTTTTATAGTTTGTTTATTAGTTTTCTTACACACTATGCCACTGTCTGTAACCTGTTTGGCCAGAGTATAAATCCCTATACACCCAAAAACTTTCAGAACTCTGTCACACATGGCTTGGGACCCCAGTGGGTCCCTTGATGAAGTTGGGACAAGTTTTCCCTCATAAGGGGTTTGGACAACATTTCCCTCTGCTCTGGCAGTATCCACTTTTCTTTTGAATTCTCCTTAGCACCTATTTTTATTAGTTTCTCTTTTCCGTGGAGGAGAAAATGGAGATTATGTCAGGAGGAGGAAGGTAAAGAGTTCAGTGAAAAATAGATGTTTTAAAAGAAATGGCAGCCTGTTTGCCTATGTAATCTGCTAGGTTATTTCCTAGACTGTCAAAAGAAAGACTTTTCTGGTGTCTGGGGACATGGACAGTCACTATTTCTTCTGGCAACTGAAGGTTATTCAATACTTGGGTGAATAGCTCCTTATGAACAAGATCTTGACGTTTACTATTAATGAGACCTCGTTCAGTCCAAATTTTTCCGAATCTATGAGCCACTCCAAAGGCGTACTTAGAATTGGTATAGATGGCTCCTTCCTAGTTCTGCAAGTACTTTAAGGCTCGGCTGAGTGCAAACAGCTCACAAGTTTGGGCAGTCCAATTATTAGACAATTTTCCTGCCTCAATTTCTTCAAGAGTTTCTCCATCAATTACTGAATTCCCTGTTGCATCTTTTTGCCTCAATCACCTGGGAGGAGCCATCTATAATTAAGTGTCATCCCATCCTGAAGGGAGTTTATCCTAGGTCTTGTCAGACCTTTGTATGGTAATCAGTTAAATCTAAACATGTGTGCTATCTCTTTAGATTTGGATCCCCTATTAGAAAAACTGCTGCGTTAAGAGAATTATCAGTGGTTAATGTTAAATCATCTTTTTCTAACAGAATAGTCTCATACTTTAAGATTCTTGAGTCAGTAAGCCACCTCCCTGCTTTCTGATTTAAGATATTTCTAACTTGATGGGGCTTTCTCACTGTCAATTTTCCTCCAAAGGTTAACTTCCTGATTTCTTTGACCATTAGTGCTGTAGTCACAATGGATTGGATACATTGAGGCCACCCACTAGTAACTGAATCTAAGGCTTTTGACAGGAAGGCCACGATGGGCTGCTGATGGCCTCCGTGTTCTTAAGTGAGCACTGCTAATGCTACCCCATTATCCACGTTGACAAAAAGGTGGAATGGCTTTTCTAGGGAAGGTAAGGCTAAGACAGGGGCTGTTATAAGCCTTTTTATCTGCTCTTCAACCTGATCGACTTCTTCAGAGGTCCACAGCAGGTCGTCAGTCTTCCCCTCGGCAAATTTTGGATATAGAAGTTTACTGTTTAGTGCATGTGAGTTAATCCATAAGCAGCAGTATCCAACTAACCCTAAAAATTTCCTGAGTTCTTGTTTAAGTTTGAGGCAAGGGTAGGGACACGATTCCCTCAACTCATTCAGGCCCTATTCTTCACTTCTCTGCACTTATCAACTGGTCTAAATATTTAATTTCAGGTTCTACATACTGAAGCTTTTTTCTTCGAGACTCATAACTCCTCGAACTGCAGATGGTTGAGAATATGTGTAGAGAAGCCAGCTACCTTCTCTATATCTTCACCAGATATAAGAATATCATCAACATATTGGAGCAGGCATATTTGTTTGGGATGATAACTTTTTCTAATACTTGTTCTAAAATTTGACTGAAAAGGTTAGGGGAGTCTGTGAACCCTTGGGGTAAGACTATCCATCGATAGTGTTGTTTCTACCCTGAATGGGGATCCTCCCACTCAAAAGTAAATATATCTTGCCTATCTTCTGCCAGGAGACATGCCCAAAAAGCATCCTTCAAATCTATTACAGTAAACCATTGATTATTATATGGAATCTTGCTGAGAATTGTGTAAGGATCGAGGACAATGGGGTGGGTAGATTGGACTATTTGGTTAATAGCCCTAAAGTCCTGTACCAGCCGGTATGACCCATCTGATTTCTTGACTGGCAATGTTGAGGTGTTTTAAGGGGACATAGAGGGCTCAAGAAGCCCATTTTTAATAAGACTTTCAATTATAGGTTTCAAACCTATCCTGCCCTCTAGGGGAATGAGGTATTGTTTCCTCCTTACTACTTCCTTGGGGATTTTTAGCTTGATGTGGTTGGAGGGACTCAGAGGTTCCCTCAGTTTCCTTCTTTGGATCAGACATTAGGATTAATATATTTGTCATCTGCAGTGGTGAGTAGCTTTAATGAGGTGAGGAAACCTCTTGGGCCGAGTTGCAGGCTTATGCCTAACTTCAACATTAAATCCCTCCCTAGTAAATTAGTCCCTGCTTTAGGGATTAGCAAAAACTGAATATGAGCTGATTGAGCCTGGTATCTGACTTCTGTGTTTTCTAAAATTTTTGCTTTAAATCCTTCTCCATTTACCCCACAAACCAAAAGTTCCCCTGAAGAGTAGGCAATATTAGATGGGGGGAAAACAAACAGAGGATCGAGCCACTCCTGAATTGACTAAAAATGTTATAAAATCATGCTTAGGTCCCACTTCTAGACTTATCAAGGGCTCCTGGTGGGACTCAAGATAAAAGAGACAGAACCCCTGACCCCATTATTCTTCCTCAAAAGCCATGAGTGGAAGGGCCTCTTTTTCCTTTTCTAATTTGGGACATTCTCTCTTGAAGTGGCCTGTTCTTCCACATTTTTAGTGCCTACCTTGCCCTTCCCCACTCTCAGTTCTGGGATTCTTTGATTTTACTCCCCTATACTATTTAGATGGCCTGGTAGACGAGAGCCTTGATCCTCCCAATGGAGGCTTGGGTCCTTTAAAGGAGGGTTTGGAACCTTTATAGTTTCTGGCCCACTGGAAGCTCTGTTTAGGGGTACATGGATTTGGAGCCATCTGTTGGAAGGTGAATAACATAAGTTTTGTCTTTTGTTTTTGCTTTTCTTCGTCTCTCTTCACAGATACTTTTTGAATCTCTCTGAGAAGTTCACTTGAGGTCAGTTTTCCCAATCTTCTAATTTTTGTAACTTTTTTGAAATATCTGGACAACGTTGGCTAGGCGCAGTGGCTCATGCCTGTAATCACAGCATTTTGAGAGGCTGAGGTGGATGGATCACGAGGTCAGGAGATTGAGACCATCCTGGTTAACACAGAGAAACCCCGTCTCTACTAAAAATACAAAAAAATTGCTGGGCGTAGTGGTGGGCGTCTGTAGTTCCAGCTACTGGGGAGGCTAAGGCAGGAGAATGGAGCAAACCCTGGAGGCGGAGCTTGCAGTGAATCAAGATTGCACCATTGCACTCCAGCCTGCGTGACAGACAGAGACTCCATCTCAAAAAAATAAAAAGAAATATCTGGACAAATTTTTTTATTTTTTTATTTTTATTTTTTTTTTATTATTATACTTCAAGTTTAGGGTACATGTGCACAATCTGCAGGTTAGTTACATATGTATACATGTGCCATGCTGGTGCGTTGCACCCACTAACTCGTCATCTGGCATTAAGCATATCTCCCAATGCTATCCCTCCCCCTCCCCCCACCCCACAACAGGCCTCAGAGTGTGATGTTCCCTTTCCTGTGTCCATATTATCTCATTGTTCAATTCCCACCTATGAGTGAGAATATGTGGTGTTTGGATTTTTGTTCTTGCGATAGTTTACTAAGAATGATGATTTCCAATTTCATCCATGTCCCTACAAAGGACATGAGCTCATCATTTTTTATGGCTTCATAGTATTCCATGGCGTATATGTGCCACATTTTCTTAATCCAGTCTATCACTGTTGGACATTTGGGTTGGCTCCAAGTCCTTGCTATTGTGAATAATACCGCAATAAACATACGTGTGCATGTGTCTTTATAGCAGCATGATTTATAGTCCTTTGGGTATATACCCAGTAATGGGATGGCTGGGTCAAATGGTATTTCTAGTTCTAGATCCCTGAGGAATTGCCACACTGACTCCCACAATGGTTGAACTAGTTTACAGTCCCACCAACAGTGTAAAAGTGTTCCTATTTCTCCACATCCTCTCCAGCACCTGTTGTTTCCTGACTTTTTAATGATTGTCATTCTAACTGGTGTGAGATGGTATCTCATTGTGGTTTTGATTTGCATTTCTCTGATGGCCAGTGATGGTGAGCATTTTTTCATGTTTTTTTGGCTGCATAAATGTCTTCTTTTGAGAAGTATCTGTTCATGTCCTTCACCCACTTTTTGATGGGGTTGTTTTTTTCTTGTAAATTTGTTTGAGTTCATTGTAGATTCTGGATATTAGCCCTTTGTCAGATGAGTAAGTTGCGAAAATTTTCTCCCACTGTGTAGGTTGCCTGTTCACTCTGATGGTAGTTTCTTTTGCTGTGCAGAAGCTCTTTAGTTTAATTAGATCCCATTTGTCAATTTTGTCTTTTGTTGCCATTGCTTTGGGTGTTTTAGACATGAAGTCCTTGCCCATGCCTATGTCCTGAATGATAAAGCCTAGGTTTTTTTCTAGGGTTTTTATGGTTTTAGGTCTAATGTTTAAGTCTTTAATCCATCTTGAATTGATTTTTGTGTAAGGTGTAAGGAAGGGATCCAGTTTCAGCTTTCTACATATGGCTAGCCAGTTTTCCCAGCACCATTTATTAAATAGGGAATCCTTTTCCCTATTGCTTGTTTTTCTCAGGTTTGTCAAAGATCAGATAGTTGTAGATATGCGGTGTTATTTCTGAGGGCTCTGTTCTGTTCTATTGATCTACATCTCTGTTTTAGTACCCGTACCATGCTGTTTTGGTTACTGTAGCCTTGTAGTATAGTTTGAAGTCAGGTAGTGTGATGCCTCCAGCTTTGTTCTTTTGACTTAGGATTCACTTCGTGATGTGGGCTCTTTTTTGGTTCCATATGAACTTTAAAGTAGTTTTTTCCAATTCTGTGAAGAAAGTCATTGGTAGCTTGATGGGGATGGAATTGAATCTGTAAATTACCTTGGGCAGTATGGCCATTTTCATGATATGGATTCTTCCTACCCATGAGCATGGAATGTTCTTCCATTTGTTTGTATCCTCTTTTATTTCCTTGAGTAGTGGTTTGCAGTTCTTGAAGAGGTCCTTCACATCCCTTGTAAGGTGGATTCCTAGGTATTTTATTCTCTTTGTAGCAATTGTGAATGGGAGTTCACTCATGATTTGGCTCTCTGTTTGTCTGTTATTGGTGTATAAGAATGCTTGTGATTTTTGTACATTGATTTTGTATCCTGAGACTTTGCTGAAGTTGCTTATCAGCTTAAGGAGATTTTGGGCTGAGACAATGGGGTTTTCTAGATATAAAATCATGTCATCTTCAAACAGGGACAATTTGACTTCCTCTTTTCCTAATTGAATACCCTTTATTTCCTTCTGCTGCCTAATTGCCCTGGCCAGAACTTCCAACACTATGTTGAATAGGAGTGGTGAGAGAGGGCATCCCTGTCTTGTGCCAGTTTTCAAAGGGAATGCTTCCAGTTTTTGCCCATTCAGTATGATATTGGCTGTGGGTTTGTCATAGATAGCTCTTATTATTTTGAGATACGTCCCATCAATACCTAATTTATTGAGAGTTTTTAGCATGAAGAGTTGTTGAATTTTGTCAAAGGCCTTTTCTGCATCTATTGAGATAATCATGTGGTTTTTGTCTTTGGTTCTGTTTATATGCTGGATTACATTTATTGATTTGCATATATTGAACCAGCCTTGCATCCCTGGGATGAAGCCCACTTGATCATGCTGGATAAGCTTTTTGATGTTCTGCTGGATTCGGTTTGCAAGTATTTTATTGCGGATTTTTGCATCAATGTTCATCAAGGATATTGGTCTAAAATTCTCCTTTTTGGTTGTGTCTCTGCCTGGCTTTGGTATCAGGATGATGGTAGCCTCATAAAATGAGTTAGGGAGGATTCCCTCTTTTTCTATTGATTGGAATAATTTCAGAAGGAATGGTACCAGTTCCTCCTTGTACATCTGGTAGAATTCGGCTGTGAATCCATCTGGTCTGGGACTCTTTTTGGTTGGTAAGCTATTGATTATTGCCACAATTACAGCTCCTGTTATTGGTCTATTCAGAGATTCAACTTCTTCCTGGTTTAGTCTTGGGAGAGTGTATGTGTTGAGGAATTTATACATTTCTTCTAGATTTTCTAGTTTATTTGCATAGAGGTGTTTGTAGTATTCTCTGATGGTAGTTTGTATTTCTGTGGGATTGGTGGTGATATCCCCTTTATCATTTTTATTGCATCTATTTGATTCTTCTCTCTTTTCTTCTTTACTAGTCTTGTTGTGGTCTATCAATTTTGTTGATCCTTTCAAAAAACCAGCTCCTGGATTCATTAATTTTTTGAAGGGTTTTTTGTGTCTCTATTTCCTTCAGTTCTGCTCTGATTTTAGTTATTTCTTGCCTTCTGCTAGCTTTTGAATGTGTTTGCTCTTGCTTTTCTAGTTCTTTTAATTGTGATGTTAGGGTTTCAATCTTGGATCTTTCCTGCTTTCTCTTGCGGGCATTTAGTGCTATAAATTTCCCTCTACACACTGCTTTGAATGTGTCCCAGAGATTCTGGTATATTTTGTCTTTGTTCTCATTGGTTTCAAAGAACATCTTTATTTCTGCCTTCATTTCGTTATGTACCCAGTAGTCATTCAGGAGCAGGTTGTTCAGTTTCCATGTAGTTGAGAGGTTTTGAGTGAGACTTTTAATCCTGAGTTCTAGTTTGGTTGCACTGCGGTCTGAGAGATAGTTTGTTATAATTTCTGTTCTTTTACATTTGCTGCGGAGAGCTTTACTTCCAACTATGTGGCCAATTTTGGAATAGTTGTGGTGTGGTGCTGAAAAAAATGTATATTCTGTTGATTTGAGGTGGAGAGTTCTGTAGATGTCTATTAGGTCCGCTTGGTGCAGAGCTGAGTTCAATTCCTGTGTATCCTTGTTGACTTTCTGTCTTGTTGATCTGTCTAATGTTGACAGTGGGGTGTTAAAGTCTCCCATTATTAATGTGTGGGAGTCTAAGTCTCTTTGTAGGTCACTCAGGACTTGCTTTATGAATCTGGGTGCTCCTGTATTGGGTGCATATATATTTAGGATAGTTAGCTCTTCTTGTTGAATTGATCCCTTGACCATTATGTAATGGCCTTCTTTGTCTCTTTTGATCTTTGTTGGTTTAAAGTCTGTTTTATCAGAGACTAGGATTGCAACCCCTGCCTTTTTTTGTTTTCCATTTTCTTGGTAGATCTTCCTCCATCCTTTTATTTTGAGCCTATATGTGTCTCTGCACGTGAGATGGGTTTCCTGAATACAGCACACTGATGGGTCTTCACTCTTTATCCAATTTGCCAGTCTGTGTCTTTTAATTGGAGCATTTAGATCTGGACAACTTTTAGTGTCAAAATGGAGTTTTAACCTTCCCTGTCCCAGGGGACGTTCCAAATTTAGGCCTGCATATTGTCTCATCTGCTCCTTTAGTCTGTCTAATAATTTCACAGTCCACTCATCTCTCTCCTGTTGTATATCAAATGCTTTAGAGAGATTTTGAGTTTGGGGTACTGATTCCCTAGTTTCTTTCATTATCATTTCCCTTATGTCTTGCATGTTTTCTTGGTGAGCTGCGTTATCATTATCCCACTGGGGATCTTCGGCAGGGAATTTTTGGTCTGTGGTAGGAACGTTTTGACAAGGAGGGTGTTCATATTCCCAAACTGCCATAGCAGCCCTATGGATCAGATCATGCTTCTTTCCTCCTCCAAAAAGAGGATGCCTAGGATGGACATAAACTCGACCCAAGTGTATAACTGAGGTCCCAAGAATTGATCAACCTGATTTGCTACCTCATAAGGTTCGTCTAACAATGGCTTAATTTCCTTTTTCAAACTTCAGGCTTCTGAACTGGTCAAGGGAGCCTTCACAAATACAATGGCTCCTCCTCCTTGTGGCATGTCTTTTAAGGGGAAGAGAGTTGGGGCTGACTCCTTAGGTGTGGAGAGAAAAGGGAAGTTCTGAATGTCCTATTTACATTGCTGTACCTCATGCTGGAGTCCCTTTAAGGAGAGGTATTTAGGTTGACAGGGGACAGGCTCATGGGATGATAACTCCCAAGAATTAGAGTTGTAAGGAGGAGGAACATCATGAGCAGGAGAAGGATCTGGGGTGGGATCTGGGGTGGCAGCAGCTGCCCAAGGGGAAGGGTCAGAGGCACTGAGCAGGGCAAAATGGTATAGGGGATCCCATGTGCTGGCTTTAGGTGTGGGAGTCAGCTCGTCTGACTTTTCAATTTGAGATGCTGGATCGGGTTCTTCCCTAGTTGTCTTTAAGGGAATAAAGACAGGTCCCTGTCTCCAACAAAGAGCATAGTCTAGTTCTTCTTGAGAAACCAGATTTTTATCATTAACATATTGAATTAGAAGTTGACACATTACATCCTCATTCGACCCAAACTTTGGCCAGAAGATTGAGGGTTTGAAAATGGGACATTGGGTCCAAATGAAACAGCAATATTTTATCTTCTGATGCTTTTTCTTATGTTTACTCCTCTCATTATCCTTCCAATATTTTAACATGAGACCCAGGGGACTATCAGGGGGCATGTCTTTGTTACTATCCTCTTCTTTTTTGCTCCCTGTCTTACTTGGGGCTTTTCCCATGTTAGGTCCTGGTTAGGCTCAATCCCACATGCTAGAGATTTCTTCCCTATCTTTTAACCCCACCTACTGGAGGCTCCTTGCCCCCTTCTTTTGCTTCATCCACTCTGGTTGCTTCCCTCCCAGGAATTTTAGGTCCCTCTTAGCATTGGCACCATGGTATAAAACCCACAGCAGGATCTGCCCTGAGCCCTGTGAGGATACAGTGAATTCCTCTTCAAAGGTTTTTTATTCAAATAAAAAACCGCAGATAGGACCCACTCACTCCTCACAGCAATAATGCTTAGTATCATCCACACAAACAGCACCACAAGCAGTAGTGCTTGTGATCATTCACACACACTTTCAACCTCCAGAATATCCCGACCACCAAGGAAATACTTTGTCACCCCTGTGACATTTCTTACCTCAGTCTATGCACAGTTACATGGTCACCACGGCATGTGAAGATCCTTTCCCCAAAGATGCTGGCCTGTTTCTTTCCACGTTGCTGAGAGCCCAGGTTTATTAATCGCACCAGTTGAGTCTTGATTCCTTACCTTTATGGCCACTGCAACAAGGCAGCGGGGTGCGCCTCCTCATGGGAGAGGACTGGACCCTCCCCCAGAGGAGAATGGGAATGCTGGGTGGGCCCCCAAATTTGTGGAAAATAAATTTTTGGTGCCACAAAGAACAGTCAGCACTCCAGCCACAAGTTTTTACAGCAAGGCAAAATTACTTCTATGGAAGAGTGGTCTTGCAGATGGAGCAATGGCAAGATCACACCGGACAAGGGAGGGGAAAGTGTTCTTACTCCTAACGCAGCTAGTCCCTACTGTTGTGTCTTTTCCCTATTGGATAGGGTTGGACTGCACACTCTAAGCTAATTCAGATTGGCTATTTCAAAGAGAGTAGGGGTATAAGCTGGAGTGGCAGGGTGAGTAGTTTCAGCGGGAAAGCCAGTTACAGAGCAGGTGTCTAAGGATGACTAAGGACAGAGCAGGTGACTAAGAATGACTAAAGACAAAGCAGGTGTTAGAGGCTAGGAGGGGGTTGTTTAATGAAACTAGGGGCAAGGAGGCATAACGAACGAGGAAGTTAAACTTTAAAACGGAGAAAAAAGAACAGAGAAGCTGGACATACTGACATATTTTTTTTTTGATGAGGAACTCAGAACTCACTGTACTTAATCTTCCCCCTCTTGAATTTTAAAGGATTTTTACAGGCTAAAATCTTTGAAGATGAATTCACTGTATCCTATTCGTCAGGTGTTCTTTCCACCAAGCTTTCAGCCATGTCAGGTGTTCTTTCTGCCAAGGGTGCAGCCTCGTCAGGTGTTCCTTCAGATGTTCCTTCTGCCAAACACACAGTCTGGTTAAATTTTCCTTTGGCTAAATATCATCCTTCTGACTCTTAACTTGCAAAACTTCTACTCATTCAGCTTGCTTTCTTTAAATACTACCAAACTTTTGTTTTCTCCTTATTTTTTTTTTTTGAAACAAGAGCCTTGCTCTGTCACCCAGGCTGGAGTGCAGTGGCACGATCTCAGCAGATCACTGCAACCTCCGCCTCCTGGGTTCATGAAATCCTCAGCCTCCCATGTAGCTGGGATTACATATGCATGCCACCCAGGCCCAGCTAATTTTTTGTATTTAGTAGAGGTGGGATTTCACCATGTTAGGCAGGGTGGTCCCAAACCCCTGAGCTCAAGCAATCCGTCTGCCTTGGTCTTCCAAAGTGCTAGGATTACAGGAGTGAGCCACCGCTCCTGGACACTATCAAACTTTTTAAAGCTTTAATTCTTCACGTTGGATATAAAATGTCTGACACATACTGAATATGGTAATGACATAATAAGTGATAATTATAAGCTCCCAAAGGGGTTCTGGCACAGAGTAAGCACTAAATAAAGTAGTAAATAATAAAAAAGATGATAATAACAAGAAAAATGCTTAGTACCTTAATAAAGTAGTAAATAATAAAAAATGACAATGATAATAACAAGAAAGATGCTTAGTACCCTAAAGATACCTGACAGTTATTTGTTAAGTGGACAAGTGGATAAACAAATAAAAAACATAGTTAGGAAATTCTGTTGGAAAAATGCAGAAATTCAATAGAGACAGCTCTAATGTATTATGAGCACCTTAAAGACCCAGACTATGTGTATTCCATCTTGGTCTCCTGCAACTTGCAAAATCTAACTTATAGAAGTCCTTTGATAAATATGTAATAAATTAAAGAAGTGCTAATACAGTTCATATTGTACAATGTATTGTGTCACATTTAGGTATCACAGTAGCACTTTTGTTATTGTGAAAACTTTTTCCACTTTTATTATAATTTGTTGAGCCTAGAATTGAGCTAGTTGGATATTTATAATGATAATATTTTGGCTAGTAGGAACAGAGTAACTTGTTGTAACAAAATTACTATTAACACACTAATTATCCAGCAGATAGAACAACATATCTTGTTCTAATGAAGTAAATATATCTTATTTGGTTTCAACTTAGAGGGAATGAAGTAGATAATAGTGAGACCTTGTTGGTACAAGACTATGTAACATAACCTGCACTTCTCAACAAAGAATTGCTTTTCTGACTTCTGCACTCGGTAGGTATCTTTGAAAAATAATCTCCTATTGGTACTGATGCACCCTCGTTAAGTTATGTTAATTCTTATTGACATTCATTTATGGTTCAAGAAAAGTATTATTGAGTTCCAAATTCTAAAGAGAGTTACTTTTTTAGTGACACAAGTCACTATGCCACACAGTTGATCTTTGAATAAGGGTTTTCACTCTAGGAGCCCACTAATAGACAGATTTTTCTTTTCCTTTGCCACTGCAAGATACCAAGACAAATCTCTCCTCTGCCTCCTCCTTATCAGCCTACTCAATGTGAAGGCAATGAGAATGAAGTCCTTTATGTATAATTCACTTCCATCTTATAAATAGTGAACATATTTCTTCCTCTTTATAACAGTTTCTTTTCTCCAGCTCACTTTATTCTAAGAATACAGTATATAGTACATATAAAATAGAAATTATGGGTTAATTGACTGCTTCTGCTTTCACCTTTTTTCAGGCTCCAGGTCAACAGTAGACAATTAGTAGAGTTTTGGAGGAGTCAAAAGAAACCGATTTTCATATAAAGCAGATTTTCAGTTGCATGGGGGGATGAGCACCCTAATTCTCATCTTGCTCAAGACTCAACTGTAATTAATTCTAATTTTCTAAATGCAAATCATTTATTGTAAAAATTAAATAAATCCCCGAAGTTCAAGACCATCCTGGGCAACATAAGGAGACCTTGTCTCTACAATAAAGAAACAAACAAAAAAATAAATTATTTTTTTATTTAACAAATAAACATTTTATATGTTTGTTTATGTTTAATAAACAAACATAAATATTTGTTTATTTAACAGTTTATTTAACTGTGTTCCTTTATAGTTTATAATATTCAAATGTTGCAGTTTTCTGTTATTAATTCCTACTTTTCATTATTAGATGTTCTATTATTTGTGGCTTGTAATTCAAGGCATCTAAGCTATTTTATAATTTGTAATAAAGTTTATTTATAAATATATTAATTCATTAAATTTGATAAGCTGATAATCCCCTATTACTGAGTTCATCAATCACACCAAGGATTCTACATTTTATAACAAGCATAAATTGTTATGACAGTTGAGAAAACATACAATATATAAACTTAAAAATTGTTTTACTTATTTATACAAAAGTATTATATAGGATATTAGGGACCACAATTAAACAAATATCTTTTCAGATAATATTTTTGAGATTATAAACCACCTACAACTAAATTCTTAATGAATTCTGAATTATAAACTAAAAAATTAAATCAAAGCTATGTATATATAAAAACACTTACATATAGATATATATGTAAACACTTGCTACTTACACATTGCTTTTTTAATAGCTCTTTTGTGATCAACACTCCTATAATCTCATGGTAGCACCACCAAGAGTAGTTTACTATCAGATGTCTTACCTGGATTGTTATTTTGAGAATTTTTAGATATCTTTTGTTTGTATTCCAAAAGTTGTTGATGAATGCCTTGTATAAAAATGAAATAAATAAAATTACTATTTTAACATTGATATAAAAAACATTTACCAAATTTATTAAGTTCTTAGGGTATTTCAGACAACATTAGAGCTAACATCAGAACATTACTTTTTCCACAGTCTTTAAGTTTGTAAGCTCTATGAACTTATTAAGCTTCTAATTAAAGAAGAAAGAAAGATAAAACACTCATGAAGTGAGGGCAGTATAACTCAGTAAATTAACCAGAGGTAGCTTGATATATGGAAAATATCCTTACCTCAGAATAAGTCCTAGCATGGCTACCAACAGGTATTTTTTCTTGAACAAGTTGCTTCTCTTAGACTCAATGTCTTCTAACGATGAGGATTTTAGGGCCTTATTTCACTATGTTATTATAAAGATTTAACAAGATAACATTTTAAAAATGCTTAAAATAAAAAGTGAAGCAAAAAAATAATTTGTTCTTGAACATTATTGCTGAAACTATTTTAAAATTCCCAAAAAACCCAATGTATTGGCCTGGTGCAGTGGCTCATGCTTGTGATGTAAGCACTTTGGGATGCTGAGACAGGAGGATTGCTTGAGTCCAGAAGTTCAAGACCAGCCTGGGCAACGTAGGGAGGCCATATCTTTACAAAAATTAAATTACAAAAAAAAATGTGTTTCTTCATAGGTTATAATATTCAAATATTGCAATTTCCTGTTATTAATTCCTACTTTTGGATATTAGATGTTCTATTCTATGTGGCTTGTAATTCAGAGCATCTAAGCTATTTTATATTTTGTAATGAAATTTATTTATACATATATTAAATCATTAAATCAGATAACCTAATTATACTCTATTACTGAGCTCATCAGTCACGCCAAGGGCAGAAAACTAATAGATGTCAGCATGTGGCTTGGAATACTACTACTCTTAATCTACCTCCTTAAATTCTGAACCAACAAATCTTTGTTAGAATGACGCTTAGTCACTATGTTCATTTCCAGCTGCTGTGGAAGACAAAACCCTACTTTCATTTTTTGTAAGTTCCACAAAGAAGATGCAAGTTGGTATTTTCTCATTTCAGAGATCCCTACTAACAAAATATTGCACACAAGATCCTATGGGTTACCACATCTCATTTCATAGACCACCTTACATAAATAATTTTTTGTATGAAAATCACAATTGCAATACTTGGTGTCACCCATTTTGCTTTGACTCACACCATTTCCTTGGAGCTAGTTAGAAAGTAGTAAAATGTCCTTTTGGGGACTGCAAGAAATATGCAACACTTTACAGATTTCTATGTCATCCTTGTGTGGGGACCGTGCTGATCTTCTCAACGTTGTTTCAATTTTACTATATGTACCACTGAAGCCAGCACAAATCCTTATTTTTATACGTGAAGACTGATCAGTGATGGATGAGGCTTAGCTCTGTTAAATCTAACCAACTTACTTGAGATTTAGTGAAGTCTATTGAATGGCTTCATGGTGATGCAGCATTTGAAAATATTTTAAAATCTCGAGGTAGAGATGTAAGTAGCATGGGAGATTTTTACTTTTAGGAAAAAAGAATCACTTGAGGGGACAACCACAAGTTGGAACCCACTACAACTTGGGAAAGATGACATGGGATTTTACAGAATAAGGTGAGACTTTCCACTACCTACAAAATGGTGCTACACAGGATATAAAGGGCCAGGGATATAAATCTGTTAACAAAGACAAAATGGATCTCTAATTTCTTCCTGTAACATTATTTCAACCTGACTTACAGTTTCAAACTACCACAACTAATATTGGCTAGAGAAAATAGAAAAAAGCCACTCAAAGGATAACTTACCATGAAGGTCTAGGCCATGCCCAGGCTAAGATGTGGGTTTCACATCAGGTTTTGGGTGTGAGGAGAAGGGTCAATTTGCTCACTATGTGTGTGGCTAAAGCTAAAAGTTCTAGCTGCCAGAGTAGGGTGCTGGTACTTTGGAAACAATGGCTAAGAATATGTACGTGAATTTTAAAAACATGTAGTAACTTCAAAGTCTACACCATGAAGACTGAGGGATCTGTGTTAATAAGGGCATCCTGGTCACAAAAGTCAATCATTACCAGACTGCAGGAGCAGTTTCAATGGCAACGATGCAGCAACAGAATCAATGGAAACAACAAAATGAAGAGAATGGGCATTTCCCCCCCAATCCTTCTGACTTGTACAAAAGGAATGTCTTCCTTGGACTTAGGTTCAGTTTCTTTTAAAAAATTCAAGAATGAAGGTATGGAAGACAGCCCCCTGGGGACACTATCAGGTTTTCTGCTTAAAGTGGACATTTCGAGACCCAAATAACTAATTAGGAAAACCAAAATTGTGACTTTATGTTTATCCCATGCATAGGGGTTATACTTCAAATCAAGTAGACAACATTTGCATCCCTAAAGCCCTAAAACAGAGAATCCTGGAGCCATTACTCCTTCTAAATAGTCTAGCTTTTTGCCTAGTTTCTGGCTGATGAAGTGAACTAACTCACTGTCATTCAAAAACTACCTGAAACAAACTATAAAATCTCACCTAACCTTTAAATGTAAACACTTACAGATTAAATCCACAAGCAACAGCATAACGTTCTGCAATCATTCCACACGTATCTACAGCACAGATGTCAACATTTTGCTGAAGAACCATGCCAACTATCTCTGATGATCCATGACATATGGCAAGCATGAGGGCTGTGCTAAAATAACAAAGAGATAACTTCATTATTAGGAACAGAACCAATTTAATATGTGCCTGTCAGTGTAGAATTAACCATTTACATGTATTAACAAATGTTAAGTATCTTGAGTGCTCAAGTGTTTATCCTTGTAAATCACGACCAAGGCTAAAAGGAAGGGGTGAAAATACTCATGTCTCACTGGGATATGGCATAGTAGAATTGGCTAACATAAAGTCCACTGAGGGGCAAGAAAATATGTTCTGTTCACTAATCTAAAAGAGGCAAAGTTTTAAGTGGAGAATTATCTATTTCCTCCTTAGTTTGATATAATATTTTGTACTTCAAAATTAGCTAGAAGTCGGACAAGTGAGAGCAATCTGAAGACTTAAAACAATATTAGGAATAATATTTGTCCTGAGTAGCTGGGACTATAGGCATGTGCCACCATGCTTGGCTAATTTTTATATTTTTCATAGAGATGGGGTTTTACCATGTTGGCTAGGCTGGTCTCAAATTCCTGGCCTCAGGTGATCTACCCACTTGGCCTCCCAAAGTGCTGGGATAACAGATGACAGCTACCATGCCCAGCAAATATTGCATTTTTAAAAAGTGTATGAAAAACAGAAGTTAGAAAAATACTATAAAGGTGTTAATCATTCAATATTGAATTATAAAGTAAACTAAAAATTCATACTTCTTAAAACTAATACAGAACCACTTTAGCTAATAGAAGATAATGCAACCAAAAACATCAGATTACAAATAAGAATCAGTCAATATAACAAAAGAAGAAAATCCTACTATATACTGTTCTTTATGTTGACCAGTCCAAATAATTGCTTTTCTTCCTAACTGATAATTTGTGTTGGTATTTTTCTGTATAATCTAATAATTTTAAGTAAATGTTATTAATTTAATATTTCTGATGAGTGTTATTACTCTAGCACACTACTCAAGTGTTTTTTAATAAAAAAAACTACTATACCATTTAAACTTATCAACTGAATTTGCATTTGCATTTGCATTTTTTGTCAGTAAAAATTCCACAATTTGCTCACTTCTTTTCCTTATGGCCAGTAAAAGTGGTGTGTGGCCAGCCTGTAAAACAGCAAAAACCATTTATAATTCATGAAATTACATATTTCTCAGCTGAACTGAATACCTTATATAATATCCTATGAACTTAAACAATGGAAAGTAAATCAATAGCAATCCCTTCTTTCTCACTTTTCTGTGCTTTCCCATGCACTGCACCTTCTCTTGTAAACATTCAGCCTCTGCATCACCACATTAACTCCGGTTATCTCCAAAAATCATTATATTGTAATGATTTTATTGTTTCCCATTTAAACCAGGAGCTTCTTGAGGGCAGGGGCTGTATCTTTTACCTTTATATCCTTAAACCCTAAGACATAGTAGTAAATACTTTGTTTTTTACTAAATTAGTAATCTAAATTATTACCTCTAGAACAGTGTTTCTTCAACTATATTCCAAAGAATAATTACCTTACCAGAATCATTGTACCCCAACAGATTCCACCATTATCTATTTTCAAGAAATGTTATAAAACTGTGAATTAAATGTTCATTATTCAAGAAATGAATTGAACTTTACCTAATCCTTATTTGACAGTATATTTTTGTGGCAAACATTAACATTTGACAAATTAGAATTTCAGGGATGCAGTTTTGAAAGCTTCCCCCCAAAAATGGAGGTTTCCTCTGAGTGATACAAACTTACTTGATTCTCTTCTCTCAATGATCCCAAGATTCCAGATGACAATGTCAGGCACTCCTGCTCTAAATGGGTCACTAAGGAAGTGGCTCTAAATTAAAAGAGATTGGCTTCAAATAAACTTTGATTGCTTATTATTAAATGGTCCATGGGGTTTATCCTATTACCAGAAAATAGGATTTTATCTAAGCTATTAGAAATTCAGTATAAAAGACCAGGTGAGGTGGTTCATGCCTTTAATCCCAGCACTTTGCGAGGCCAAGGTGGGCAGATCACAAGGTCAGGAGATCGAGACCATCCTGGTCAACATGGTGAAACCCCATCTCTGCTAAAAATACAAAAAATTTAGCCGAGCATGGTGGCACATGCCTGCGTCCCAGCTACTCAGGAGGCTGAGACAGGACAATCGCTTGAACCAGGGAGGCAGAGGTTGCAGTGAGCCAAGATCACACCACTGCACTCCAGCCTGGTGACAGAGCGAGGCTCCGTCTCAAAAAGAAAAAAAAAGAAAAAAAGAAAAGCAATTCAGTATAAAAGTTTATTCTCAATTATAATGATACTCCTAGGATCCTAATGCATATCCACTTCTTAAAATGCAATAATCCATTTTTATTCCGGTTTCTATTGTAATTGATACTATTTTTTGGGAAAATATCAGAAGTATGAATAAAATGGCTTATTAATGAAAGTTCTAACTCATGTATATGGATTAGCAAAATAGAAGCCACTAAATCGCTTGAATTTTAAGGGACAATTCTGTGGAGAAAGATATAATATTTTCTGCAATTTGCATAACCTATTCAAATATAAACATGATTAATCTAAAAAAGCTTAAAGGCCTTCTAATAGAAAATGATTATTTATGGTTTATATGAAGAAAAATCATCATTTAAAAAATATTCTAAATTCTAGAAGACAACCCCATTACTAATGAATTAATGTAAAATATAAACTATATATTATAAACACCTGTAAACTGTCTTCAATAACTTGAAATCTTTACCAAAATATACTATGAGAGAGGAATTGATAACTGAAATATTTACAGAGGCAAAAGAGGTAAGTTGAATAAGTGATGTAACTAGGTGGACACAGTAGCAAACTGGAAACATATGCTTTATGTAAAGTTAGAATGTCTTCATAGCATACCAAACAGTCATACAGGCTCAAGAGACACCAGATTCAATCCTTTAAGAGGAAATCCAGATTTCTGCATGTCTCCTAAATTTTACATGTTGACTCAATTTATGCAGGCAAATTTTACTTTCCTGTAGTTTTATGCTAACAGGAAAGAAAAAAAAAACAGGTGGGAAAGAATATTTGAAAAATTTTACCTTTAACAAACTCAAATATTTATCATAATGCACAGAAAAGCCATACTAATAGTTCTTGTAAAAATAATAATATTTAAAGCAAAATCCTAGACAATTAAGTTTTGTCAAACTATTTTCATAGAAAAATAGGAATGTTTGAGCTTCCAAATATAAAACAATTTACATATGTTAATGTTAAAACAAATGAATTTCAAATATTTTGAAAATAACATTGGTTAACTTCTACCTTGTTCTTCACTTTGATGTCTGCACCACAGGACAGCAATTTTGCCACCACTGACAAATTCTCACCATAAACAGCATAATGGACAGCTGTGTTGACATACACATCTACAATATTTGGATCAGCACCAGAATCTATGAGAATATTTGCACAAACTTCCCTCTGGCATTGCACAGCCTGTCAGTATTAAAGCAAGAAGTAAATTATAAATTATAGGAAATATAAATAAATATTCCACAGGTTTCACAAACTAGTTATATTTCAATGAGATACATTCATTTTTATTCTATGTATTTAAACCAAATCCATCTCCTGCTGAAAGAACTGGCTACCATTTTCCTTCATCAGAGGTGTCCCGTTTTCACCATCAAGGACGTCAAGCTGGCACTTTCTATCTACCAGAAGTGTTACTACTTCTGCATGGCCATTGGCACAGGCCCAGTGTAGTGCAGTCCTACGAGAGTGAGAGGACTTTTTAGGAAAGTTTAGTCCACTGTCTCAAAGCATATAATGATTTATGTAATTGTCAACATTAAATACCATTCTCTTTCTCTGCCTTCAAAACAAATATTTAATATTCTCCTGAAGAAAGAACAACATTCATTCACTCTTATTACTCACTACATTAATGAAAGAGTGGCCTATTTGAATAGAAAGAGCTTGGCCTTTGGATTCAGTTCAACTTGAGCTTGAATATTACTTTAAAGTCTTTCACCTTCTAGCTATCACTTAACCTTTCTGTGCCTCAATTTTCTCATCAATAAAGTGAAGATGAATACAGCAGTTATCTCACAGGACATCACTGTGATGCCTCATGAGAATCTGTGCAATGTATTTCAAAGAATTCCTAGCACATGTAACAGCTCAGTAATTGTTAGATATTGTAATTATTTCTACTACTTAACAAAGAAAACATTTTAAGTAAAATGGTACAGTTATGCCTACGTTGTGATATGTTTTAAAGGTTAGAGATAAAACTGTATTTTAATAATTCTAAGATACTCTATTTCTCATATTTTAACATCTCTGACATTGAAATGCCACTTATAAGTCATTATTTATTACAAGTACATTTTGCAGAAATTTAAAGAATCTTTTATTGGTACATAAATAAGGAGGCATCACACAATTCATGATGCCTTCCATGAAGTGGAATGCAGTATATAAAACAGGATGATGGCAGTCCTAGTCATAGGATTAACACTTAAAGAAATTTTAGCTTTTAAGAGTGCTACACAAAAGGGGAGTTGAAATAAAAACAAACTGTTAAAACAAAGTACTTCTTCAATATTTTTAAAACTTCAAGCCAAAGAAAACTTGGGATTCAAGTAGGTATGGCTCATTTTATTCCATATTTAGATTTACAGAATGTATGTAAATTCATATTTAAATTTATAGACTGCATGTAAATTAGGTATTTCCAATGATTAATATTACTATTTAAAGCTGTTATAAAATTCTGAAATCGTGGTTGGTAGTTATCTTTTACTAGTTTCTCACTTCAGAAGTGTTTTTGTTTTAAAGAAGAGAGGAAAAGCTTCAATTGAGATTCAGTCCCAGTACTCCAACTTTAAATCTCTCACTTTGCTAAGGCTGAGCAGGTAAATGTAAAATTTTTAAGGATGAAAGGATCTTGAGAGTTAATGTATCTTATACATAATAGGCATTCAGCTTACATGTGATAAACTGATTAAAAGGATAAATACAGTTGAGAAGTTCAATACCTTAAAAAAACTGCTATAAAACACTTATATTTTCTATTTTGTTTTCTTAATAATAAAAGTACACTAATCTATAATTATTGACATATATGTAATAAATCTATATATAATAAAAATATATGCCTAATAAGATGTATATGTAAATCAACAAGCACAGGTAAAAAGATTGTCTTTTGAAGATGCTAAAAGTTCACAGAATATACTAATCCACAAAAAATAATAATTAAAATATGGAAGGTGAGAAATAATTTTTACTGCTGCAAAATTATATTCTTGCTCTTCTTAAAAATTATTTCATTAATAATAAACTTTTTCTAATAGCATTGTACATGCTCAATGTGGAAATCAAAGATAATAAAAAGGAAAAACATTTTATATTAAAACCAATGCCCTCAAATAACAAATTTTATCGTATTTCATACACAATTTCAGATAACACAAGACTGTAGTCTGTGTGTATGTATAATCAAACTGAACTTTACCCTCACTTGATACACCAAAATATATTTTCAAATGTCACCTACTTCTCTACATATTTCTACCTTCAGTGGTCACATATTATCCCATGCTGTAAATTCACTGAAGTGTATTTATAAAAGCCATTATGTGGATTCTTCTTAATAATATGGTACTTACCACCAAATTGTCTACTTGAAAAGTTATCTGCAACTTAAACTTTAAATAGCATTATAAATATCACTGCTCTTTTTCCTCACAAATTTTGTAGATAGAAAACAGTATTTGATTCCTCTTTTAACTTAAATACCTTCTCTAACCAGGAAAGCTAAATATTGTTTTCTATGTGCATAGGTCACTTACAGATCTTAAGAAAATACTTTCCCAATTTTAAATTAGAAGCGAAGTACTATTTTTAGATCTGCAATTTAGATCTCTAATTTAAATTGCTCAATTTTAAATTAGAGGGTTTTTTGTTGATTTAAGTGAATTATCTATAAAATGACGATTTTTAAATCTAATATATATATACACACGCACATACATGTGCAGTAAACATTTTACAAGTATGCTGCCTTTTATTTTTTCTCATTACAGGTTAATTTAATTTTGTTTTGCTTAATTGTCCTTCAGATTGCTTGCTTCTGAGCTTCTTAGAAAGGTGTTGTCAACATAAAAATGTACCTGTGTAAATCAGTATTTATATTTTCTTCTGGTGCTTTTATCATTTTGTATATTAAAAAAATTTAATCTGTATTCCGTCAGAAATTTACCTTGTGGTATAAAAATCTAGTTTTCTCCAAAAAGTAGGCATTTCGCTTATGAAACTAATTCTTTCCCTACTAGTATAAAGTTCTAAATTCTTAGATATTTGGGTGTTTCTGGATTTTCTATTCTGTTGTATTCATTTACCTGTCTTTTCAGCTGTTATCAAATAATTTGTGATTTATTTATTTATTTTTGAGACAGAGTCTCACTCTGTCGCCCAGGCTGGAGTGCAGTGATGGAATCTCAGCTCACTGCAACCTCCACCTCCCAGTTTCAAGGGATTCTCCCTCCTCAGTCTCCCGAGTAGATGGGATTACAGGCTCCCGACATTGTGCCTGGCTAATTTTTGTATTTTTGTAGAGTTGGGGTTTCACCATATTGGCCAGGCTAGTCTTGAACTCCTGACCTCAGGTGATCCACCCGCTTTGGCCGCCCGAAATGCTGGGACTACAGGCATGAGCTACCACGCCTGGCTTTTTTTTTTTCAAATTTTATTTATTTTATTTATTTATTTATTTATTTATTTATTTATTTATTATGATTATTTTGAAACAGAGTCTCGCTCTGTCACCCAGGCTGGAGTGCAGTGGTGCGATCTCGGGTCACTCCAAGCTCCACCTCCCGGGTTCACACCTTTCTCGTGCCTCAGCCTCCCAAGTAGCTGGGACTACAGCGCCCACTACCACACCCGGCTAATTTTTTGTATTTTTAGTAGAGGCTGTGTTAGCCAGGATGGTCTCCATCTCCTGACCTCGTGATCCACCCACCTCGGCCTCCCAAAGTGCTCGGATTAGAGGCATGATCCACCGCGCCTGGCCGTGGCCCATTTTGTGCAAATTAATAGCACATTTTGAAATCTAGAAGGGCAAGACTTTTCTACTCCGTTACAAAATTTTTTAAATGTCATCACAATAGTAAAAGACAGCGTGTGTAATTTTAAAAATGTTAAAATGTTGATAACTTTGTTTGGTTTATGTAAAACTGATGAAGAGCTTGCATCTTGAGAAAAATGAGTCTTCTTAAATTCGAAAACATAAACCATCTTCCCACCTCAAAGTTACCTTCTAAGGTCCCTCAGCAAAGAACATATTTACGTAGGCATTCATTGATATTGAAATGGATACTGGACTTTATCCAAAAAATTTTTAGCCAAGAAGTTAATATATTATGGGAATTATTTCATTACGCACCATTTCATAATGTATCTAACATTATCTTTTAAAACCTGTACATTAAAAGTAAAACCCTGTATGTACTTAAATTTGTAAGTTAAATCACTTTAAAATACTCTACACAGTGCTCTGTGAGAGGAAGTGGGAGTGAAGGAGAAAGCAGCTAACTAAAGTTTGGGGTTGATTTTAAGGTGGCCTGGGCCCTCCGCCCTGCAGGGCGCCCCCATCCAAGGCCTGGGGGGCCTGCCCGGGAAGAAGGTCAAGACCTCAGGGCTCAGGACGGCCGCCCCGCTGCCCGCCACTCCTCCACCTGCTCCCCTCGTCCCCAGGACCCCCAGCCCCCACTCTGAATGGGAGATCCTCCCACAGCCGCCTCCTCCTCCTGCAGCCCCGGCTCAGGCACTGTCTGGTACCTCTTCTTCGCATCTCTTATGTTCGGGTCCATTGTCGTTTTCTTCATCATCCTCTCCAGCTTCCAGGCTTGGCCCCGGGAGGCAGCTTTGTGGATCTTCCTGAGATCCCCATGGTGAATCACTTAAGAGTCATTATTGGTGTAGACCAGCTGACTGAAGGGGCTCGGGCACTCCAGGCCCGTCTGGCCCTTGACAGCGGCGGCAGAGAGCCTCTCCATGGCTGCAGCCACCTGCTAGAGAGCGCCCGCACCTCCCGCTGCTTGCCCTTTCCAGGTCCCCGCCGCTCGCCCTTGCCCTTCTTCAGTCCCCGCACCCGCCCTGACACCAGTAGAAATCTCAGTCGGGCCAAGCTTTTGGACACTCCAGCCTCACCTGGGAGAAAAGGGCTGTGCAAAACCATTAGGCAGCTGAGCAGAACCATTAGGAAACAGCGCATGCGCAACTCAGCAGACCGGGGAGACACGCGAGGCGGGAAACGGCCCTGACTGCGCTTCGCCCAGCACCGCGTGCAGGTGGCACCTGCCACTGAGGCGCTGTCGGGCTGGCGAGGCTCCCTGGAGCGGAAGGTGGGGGACTCCCTGCCACATGGCCTGCTTGGCAGAGCCGCCCCTGGCCCCTCTTCAACCTGAGATCCAGGAGCTGGGCCCTGGAGCCGGGCATCGTGCAGCCTCTGGGGTGGCGCTGAGCATCGGTTCCCGCCCTCCTGCAGCCAGGACCCAACCCCTGACTTAGGCGCCCTGGAGGCTTCTGGCCCAAGTATCCACGCTGCTGGTGGCGCTGGCAGGGTCGGGGTTGCAGCCTCTGCTGCCACGTGCCATGTTCAGGTGGCAGTTGCAGCTGAGCCCATGGTAGAGGCTACAGGGCTGGGCCCAGACCACTGAGCATCGCCGAGTACATCGCCCTTCCACCCAGGGCTCTGCTCTTCCTCGGCTCGCGCTGGCAGCGCAGGTTCGCCACCACTGGGCCCTGTAGAGCTGTGGCCATGAGGCTTTGCGGCAGGTTCCCACCCTCCTGCAACTGAGGTCCCACTGCCTGACTTAGGCGCAGTGGCGGTGTCCGACCCTGGGGTTCACCTGCTGGTGGCACGGACAGGTTCTGGGGTTGCCACCGCTGCTGCCACCTTCAAATGCCAGCTGCAGCTGAGCCCACAGTAGAGGCTGCAGGGCTGGGCCCGACGGCCTGAGGGTCGCCGTGTGGCACACGCCCTCCCACTCTAGGCCCTGCTCTTCCTTGGCTCGCGCCCTGAGCGCTGGTTTGCAGACTCTGGGGACTGTGCAGTCGCCAGTATGGGGCTGAGTGGCAGGTTCAGCGCTGCCTGGGCCCAGAGGAGAAGAGGGGAGTTTGGGGTTGCTTGGCCATATTTGCCTGTGTGCCAAGTGCAGGTAGTGGCTACAGTTCTGACAGGCACGGATGGCGGGTCCCATTTAGAGGGCTTCAAGATTGCTGAGAGCGCCAGCTGCCAGGCCTCAGGATCCCTTCCTCGTTGACCAGCATCTGGAATATGGCGGTGGCGCTGGGTAATCTGCAGCCATCCTGGATGGGGCTGAGCTGCAGTTCTCTCCCTTGGACTGAGAGGTAAACTTGGCTGAGTAGAGCAGATGGAGAAACAGTTAAATTGAACTTATCTATAAAGACTTCCAGGCTGGGTGCAGGACCTCATGCCTGTACTTACAGCACTTTGGGAGACCGAGATGATAGGACGATCATTTGATCCCAGGAGTTTGAGACCAGCTTAGACAACACAGGGAAACTTCATCTCTATAAAAATAAAACCAGTCAGCCAGGCATGGTGGTGCATGCCTGTGGCCCCAGCTACTTGGGAGATTGGTTGTGGGAGGATCACTTGGACCCGGGAGTTCCTGGGTACAGTAAACTGATTGTGCCACAAACAAGGAATGAAAGGTCCTGTTGCTCCACATCCTTGACAGCATTTGACTTTTTCAGTCTTCTGGATTTTGGTTATTGTTTGTTTGTGCTGCTGCACTCCAAGCCTGGGCAACAGAGACTCTCTCTCTCAAAATAAATAAATAAAAGACTTCTAGTCACTATATCATATCTATGTCGAATTCTTTACACATCAAGCTTGAAGAGTTAAAACCCACAGCGCCCTCTGGTTATGTGATAGGGACCATGTGATTAAAGTGGGTGACCATGTTCTTGCCTCCAGGGGGCGCAAGTCAAGGGATGGGTCTCCAGCTGCAGGAGAGTGGGAATGGATGCTCAGCACCATCCCGGAGGCTACACAATGCCCAGCCCCAGGGCCCAACTCCTGGATCCCGGGTCATGAACAAAAACCCAAGAATTGAAGACTTGAGTGTTAGATATGCTCATTTCTACTGGGATATCATTGGTTCTACACTGTCTTAGCTTACAGAGCAAAGAAATAAATGTGTGTATACAAAGCTGTGTATAGACATAACTATAAATATTTCTAAATGTAATGTGTGTGTTAGTTCATACTGATGTCTATGACTCAATTCTTTTATCACATGATCATTCCGGCCTTCTCCCCTTGCTTACATGTAACCTCCCACTTTAATAGTGAGAAACCAGGCTCCTGTCATTTGTCATCCGTTTGCTTAACTGTCTAGTTCCAATATACATTTATTCTCTATCAATCTCAGAATCGCTATCCCATTTCCTGTAGGAAACAGCTATACCAAACAGATCACGTGAGTTGTTTGCAGTTTCTCTTCCTTTCAGTCTTCATGCATTTTCTTTGTTTCTTTCTTTTTTTTTTTTTTTTTTTTTTGAGATGGAGTTTTGCTCTTCTTGCCCAGGCTGAGGCTGGAGTGCAGTGGCGTGATCTCAGCTCACTGCAACCTTTACCTCCCAGGTTCAAGCGATTCTCCTGCCTCAGCCTCCTGAGTAGCTGGGATTACAGGCACCTGCCATCATGCCCAGCTAATTTTTGTCTTTTTAGTAGAGACGGGGTTTCACCATTTTGGCCAGGCTGATCTCAAACTCCCAGCCTCAGGTGATCTGCCACCTTGGCCTCCTAAAGTGCTGGGATTACAGGTGTGAGCCACCACGGAAGGCTCATCCATTTTCTAAGATGCTTATGTCAGCACGTTTTTCCCACTCCCTAGAGTGAAGTGGCTCTATACATTTGTAGTACTTCAGATTTTTTATGACATTCTGCATTCCATCCCAGGATCCCCAGAACACCTACTTTGTTGTTGTTGTTGTTTTAAAATTTGCATATATTAAGTGACACTCTTTGTGCTGTGAGATTCTTTGTTTTTTAACAAATGCAGGCCGGGTGTGGTGGCTCACGCCTGTAATTCCAGCACTTTGGGAAGCTGAGGCGGGCAGATCACGAGGTCAGGAGATGGAGACCATCCTGGCTACACGGTGAAACCCCGTCTCTACTAAAAATACAAAAACAAAATTAGCCGGGCGTGGTGGCAGCCACCTGTAATCCCAGCTACTTGGGAGGTTGAGGCGGGAGAATGGCGTGAACCCGGGTTGCGGAGCTTTTAGTGAGCCGAGATCGTGCCAGTGCACTCCAGCCTGGGTGACAGAGCAGACTCCGTCTCAAAAAACAAAACAAAACAAAACAAAACAAAAAAAACAAACAAACGCAATTTCATACTCTCATGTTTCCACAGTTGTGGTATCATACAGAATACTTTGACTGGTCTAAATAATGCCCACGTGCTTCACCTATTAAACCTCCTCACTGAATCTTTTGCCAGATCATTTACTTTGTTAGGAAGTAATATTCCCTTATAAGACGTATCACAGTGCTGTTTTTTTTTTTTTCCAGTCATCAATTATGAGACCTCTTGGTTTCTTCCAGTTTCGGGAATTATAAACAAACTGCTATATTTATATTCATGTGCCAGTTTTGGTGTGGACATAGTTTTCAAATAAGGTGGATAAACACCTAAAAACACATTTGCAGCCAGGCGCGGTGGCTCACGCCTGTAATCCTAGCACTTTGGGAGGTTGAGGCGGTCGCATTGCCTGAGCTCAGGAGTTGGACACCAGCCTGGGCCACATGGTAAAATTTCCCAAATCAACAGGTTATACTGTCTCTAGTAAAATACAAAAAAAAAAAAAAATTAGCCAGGCATGGTGGTAGGTGCCTGTAGTTCCAGCTACTCTGGAGGCTAAGGCAGGAGAATTGTTTGAACCCAGGAGGTGAAGGTTGCAGTATCCTTCTATTGCACCATTGCACTCCAGCCTGGGTGACAGAGCAAGACTATCTCAAAACAAACAAAAAAACCACAATTGCTATATTATATGTAAGACTTTTTTTTTTACATATAGTATAGCAACTATGGGCATAAGAAATTGTCCATCTGTCTTCCAAAGTGGTGGTTTCATTTTGCAAGTGGTGAAAGAAAAAAAACAAAAAACAAAATTCTTCTTGCTCCTGGTTTTTGGGAAAAAGCATCCCATTTCTCATCATTAAGTATGATAATTTTAGGGGTTTGGTAGATGTTCTTTGTCAAGTTAAGAAAATTCACCTCAATTCCTAGTTTTCTGAGAGTTTCTCAAATTATAGATGGGTGATAGATTTTGCCATAAGCTTTTTCTACATCAGTTGATACAGTCACATGATTTTTCTTCCTGCAGATTTAGGAAATTCTGCAGATAATTTTCCAATATTGAATCAGTCTTGCATACAGTCTTACCTAGAATAAATACATAGTTAGATTCAATTGTCTACTATTTTGTGAAGGATTATTGGATCTTTGTTCATGAGAGATACTGATGTATTGATTTTATTTCATGTTATGTCTATTGGATTTGGTAAGAGGGTAATATTTACCTCATAGAATAAGTTAGGAAGTGTTCTCTCTAATTCCATTTTCTTGAAAAGTCTGTGGAAAATTGGTATAATTTCTCCTTTAAATGCTTGATAGAATTCACTACTAAAGCCATTTGGGCCTGGAACCATTGGTGGGGGGGCAGGTTATTAACTATTTATTCAATTCCTTTTATAGCTATAAAAGTACTCATGCTATCTATTTTTTCTTTTGTGAGTATTGGCATATTGTGTCTTTCAAGGTATTTGTCCATTTTATATAGGCTATTGAACTTGTGAGTATAGAGTTTTTAATATAGTAAATATATTATCCTTTTAATGTCCACAAAATCAGTAGTCATAACCCATACCCCTCTTTCACTTCCAATATTTGTAAGTTGTGCATTCTCTCTTTTTTTCTTTATTAGTTTGTCTAAATGTTAGCAAGTTTATGGATCTTTTCAAAGAAACAGCTTTCTGTTTCATTGATTTTCTCTATTGTTTTCCTGCTTTCTATTTTACTGATATCTGCTATACTTTATATATTTTTTCCCTTGTTACTTACTTTGGATTTTCTTTTTCTAGTTTCTTAAGGCAGAAGCTTATTGATTTTATCTCTTTTTTCATAATAATATATATTTAATGCTATAAATTTAGGTACTAGTTCTACTGTATCTCATATATTTTAATAAGTTGTGATTCCATTTCCATTTAATTCCAAATATTTTAATTACTCTTTAGTCTTCTTTTGGGATGCACTTAGATGTTTTGTTAAGTCTTCAAATATTTGAAAAATTTTTCAGTTCTTCCTGCTATTTATTTCTACTTTAATTTTTATTGTGGTCTCGGTGTGTACTTTGTATGAACTTTGTTCTTTGAAAAATTTTAAGACGTTTATGGCCCATAATGCAGTGTGTCTTGTACAAACTAGAGAAGAATGTGCATTCTACTTTTGTTGAAGTAGAATATAAACATTAATTATATTCATTTATTTTTATTTCATTTTATTTTATTTTGAGATAGAGCCTCACTCTGTCAACCAGGCTGGAGTGCAGTGGTGGTCTTGGCACACTGCAACCTCCACATCCCAGGTTAAAGTGACTCTCCCACCTCAGCCCAGAGTAGCTGGGATTACAGATGTGTGCCACAACACCCAGCTAACTTTGATATTTTTAATAGAGATGGTGTTTCATCATGTTGGTCAGGCTGGCCTCAGGTGGTCCACCCACCTTGGCATCCCAAAGTGCTGGGATTACTGGCATGAGCCACCGTGCCTGACCTGCCTCCTCTTATTTTAATTGAGCATCTTCTATGATTGCATTTTTGTCTCATCACCTCATGAGATGTGATCTCATCACTTTTCTTTTAAAAACTTGTAGTGGTTTTCTTAGAATTGATTATATGCATTTTAAGTCTATCTTTAAATTAATTAGAATTGATTATATACATTTTAGTTCTATCTTCAAATAAAATTGTTACTTCACATGTAGTGTAGGTATCTCATAAAAATACCACCAGATTGTACCTCCTGTACCTTATGACATTGCTATTGTTCATTTCATCTATCCTCATTCTATAATTACCCATTTTTTGTTACTAAACAGTTATCTTATGGATCAATAAGAATAAAAAAAGTTTTTAACTTTAATTTATTCTTTTTCATTTATTTCTTTATTGTGTATATGAATTTCTCACTTGCATCATTTTCTCTCCCCTTGAAGAACTTCCTTTAGTATTTCTTGCAAGACAGGTCAGCTGACAATCACTTAAATTTTGTTTTTCTGAGAAAGTTTTCTATTTGCTTTCTTTTTAAAAGGAAATTTCAATATATAGAATTGCTTTATCCCCCTAAAGTCATATGCTGTTGAATATATTTTCAAATACTTATTTGCCATTTTTATATTTCCTTTGGTGGCTTATCCATTTATATTGTTTCCCCATTTTTAACTGAATTGTTTGCTTTCTTGTGAAATTTGAAGGGTTTCTTGTGTATTTTAGATATAGCCTTTATTACAGATTAGTGGATAAAGAAAGTGTGGCATATACATACAATGGAATATTATTCATCCTGAGAAAAGAAGGAAATCCTAAAATCTGTGATAACATTGATGGACTGAGAGAACTTAATGCTAAGTAAAATAAGCGAGACACAGAAAGACAAATATACTGCATAATCTCACTTATCTGTGAAATCTAAAAAATTTAAACTCATTAGATGTTAGGGATTAGAAGGTAGGAAAAATGGGGATATGCTTTTAGTTAAAAGATGAATAAATTCTGGATACCTAACATATGTAGCATAGTAGTTACAGCTGATAAGAATGTATTGTATACTTGAATTTTGCTAACAGGGTAGGAATACGTATTTCCATACAAGCACACATAGACACACACAGAGAAAGTCTAACTTTGTAAGTTGATGAAAATGTTAATTGACTGTGGCTATTATTTCACAATGTATACAAACATCACATCACATCATATTATATAACTTAAATATGTACAATTTTTATTTATCAATCATACTTCAATGAAGCTAGAAAGAAAAATAAGAAAAAAATTTATACAGCATAATTATGGAAGGGATACATTTTCTAACAATTATGATATGTTTTCCTATGCTTATTTTAGAATATTGTATTGTTATTGGGATTATTGCCACCATTTTCTTCTCTGCACCTGTATTCCTGTCTTTATCACAGTGACCAAATCTCCTCTGATAACACTTAATTTTTGCCCATCTGAAATTATATCTTAAATTCCAAAAAGTAAATGTTTTCTGATTTTTAGCGAAAAATAAGTATTTTTTAGATTTCCTAGGTGACCTCTAGAAAAACTGTGACAATTTTTGCCTTATAAAATGAGTGAGGCTAAAATAAATTGGACTTCTTTGGTGTGCCCCATATTTCTTCATTAGTTCCACACATCTGCTTGAGTTCCATGAGGACAATTCTAAAGGGCTCAGCTTTCTCAGTTCATTTTACATAATCTTACATATTAAGATGAATGGTGGTGGGGTGCGTTGGCTCACGCCTCTAATCCCAGCACTTTGGGAGGCTGAGATGGGCAGATCAGGTCAAGAGATGGAGACCATCATGGCCAACATGGTGAAACCCCATCTCTACTAAAAATACAAAAACTAGCTGGGCATCGTGGTGCATGCCTGTAGTCTCATCTATTCAGGAGGCTGAGGCAGGAGAATCACTTGAACCCAGGAGGCAGAGGTTGCAGTGAGCCAAGATCACACCACTGCACTCCAGCCTGGTGACACAGGGATACTCTGTCTCAAAAAAAAAAAAAAAAAAAAAAAAGAGGTGAATGGTTTAGGAACTGTATACATTTAACTAATAGATTAGAGACTGTAATAGGAAATTGGAGAGGTGTATGCCCCCAGGTGAAACATTGGTCAAGTCTTTATGAGATAGTATTGAACCTAATGCAGAATTTTATTCTTCTCCATTTTTATATTATTGTTTACTATATCAATTAAATAGCCATTTAGTTGCATCTCTAGGTGGTTTTTGTTTTCCTCTGACACTTACTTGAATGTTCTCCTATAAAGTACTGAGCATAACAACTTACTTTTAAATCTCATTGTTTTAAGGATATATCTTTTTGCCTCATTGGTAGATAATTTTATCAAAGCAAAAAACTGACTCAACATCCAGTAGAAGGAGTATTAATTACACAGTTTCTTTTTCTATCTCTGATCCTCAATTTTATATACAACACCTTGTAAGTGAAATACATCATTCAAACACTGTCTAATTTATATTTTTCTCTGAGAATTCAGAACAATATATTTGTACTTACTCTGCATGCTTGTAGGACAACATATTATTATTGTAGGACTTTCTCCTTAGTTCAGCTAAAAGCTGTATTCTTGTCACACAGCCATGAAATATTAGGCTCACAGACGCTTTGAAGGGTGCGAAAAATGGAATTTATTGGCGAATGGGAAAAAAGGGGAAACAGAGACTGTCAGTAAAGTGAGTCCTGCTACCCAGCTTCCTGCCTCATAGATTGAATCCCAGCCTCCGCCCTGGAACAGAAGAGGCCAGGCTCCTCCCCGCTGCAAACTTCCAGAGGCTCCACCTCAGTGTGCACTCCTGCCAGTGTGCAAGCCGGTCGGAGGTTCTGCCGGGGAGCCGTTTTTACTTGCTGTCTCATTATTTGCATAGTTTCATCAAGAATCTGTCCTTTTTTCCTGGGATTTAATTGGACATCCAAGGCCATACATGTGTTTATAAGGTATGAAAACACCTATTAAGGAACAAGATTGTACTTTAAATGTTGAGCCAATACCTACTAAGTCCTCCACCTGTTCTATGGTTCCAGCCTCACATTGGTAAGGGAGTGTTTTCAGAAGGCCATGAATCTTACATTTTAGAACCTGGTGGAGGGAAGACTTCACCTATTTGTTTAACTCCTCTTTCTGAAGCTACATAAATAATCAGGGTCAAATATAGTCAGATAAACTTTTTCTTTTTTTGATTAAGAATAACACTTGGAGGCCGAGCCGGTGGGTCACGCCTGTAATTCCAGCATTTTGGGAGGCTGAGGTGGGTGGATCACGTGGTCAGGAGATCGAGACCATCCTGCCCAACATGGTGAAACCCCATCTCTACTAAAAATACAAAAAATTAGCCGGGCATGGTGGCGGGCGCCTATAGTCCCACCTACTCTGGAGGCTGAGGCAGGAGAATGGCGTGAACCCAGAGGCGGAGCCTGTAGTGAGCCGAGATCATACCACTGCACTCCAGCCTGGGAGACAGAGCCAGACTCTGTCTCAAGAAAAAAAAAAAAAAGAATAACACTTGGAGATTATTGACATGAAAATAAGGAACTGAGATAGTTATGGATTAGCACTAACAGAGGACATATTTGTGATAAGGAATGCTAAGGAAGAGTATCTAAAACTCTTACATAAGACGTGTATTTTTAGTGTAATATTACATTATTAAAAGCTATCCTCTAAAAGGTTAACCCAAAGATTACTTCATTTTCTTTTGATTTGGCCATGTATTAGTTGATTTGATCCTAGACACTATGCGATTATGTAATAACTTGTAGGTTTCTCTCTAGTAGAAAAAGACAATGCCAGACTTTATGGATCTGTTTCCATGAAGGATATTTACCAGTTTTAATTCATAACTGATAGGAGTTTATCAAGCCTCAGAAAAACTGCTCTTGAGTGCATTTACTGTACACATTTTTTGTGAATTACTGCATTATATCACATTTCCAATTCCCTTTTTCTAATAAGTTTAATAAAGTTTAAATTTTATGCTTAATACCCAAAAATACAGTGCAATTGGGAATACATCCTTTTTTCTTTTAATTTTCTTTTTAAAATTGTGGTAAAATACACATACTGTAAAATTTATCACTTTAATGAATTTTAAATGAACAGTTCAGAGGGTATTACATTCACCAAATTGCACAACCTTTACCACCATCTATTTCCAGAACTCTTTAATCATCCCATATAGAAACTCTGTACCCATTAAACAATAACTTCTCACCCACAGTAGTCCATGGTAATGATTATTCTTTCTGTCTCTACGATTTGCTTATTCTAAGTACTTCAAGCAATATTTATCTTTTTGTGTCTGGCTTATTTCACTAAGCATAATGTTTTCAAAGTTTACATATGTTGTAGTCATTGAAATTCTGTAGTGTATATTAGAATTTCATTCCTTAATAAGGCTGAATAAGTTTCCATTATGTGAATATGGTATATTCTGTTTATTCTTTCATTTATTGATGAGCATTTGAGTTGCTTCCTGCTTTTGGTTACTGTAAATCATGGTACTGTGAACATTGGTGGTCAATATCTGTTGGAGTCTCTATTTGCAACTACTTTGGGCATGTATATAGGCATAGAATTGCTGGATCACATAGTAGTTCTATGTTTAACCTTTGAGGAGCCACCTAACTGTTGTCCACTGAAGCTAAACCATTTTACATTCCCACCAGCAATGCACAAGGGTTCCCATTGACTCTAAATCCTCACTAACACTTGTTATTTTCTGGGGTTTCTTTTTTGTAATCATCCTAATAGGTGTGAATTGATATCTCATCATTAGTTTTATTTTTGTTTTTCTAATGCTAGTGATATTGAGCCTCTTTTCATGTGCTTGTTGGCCATTCGTACATCTTCTTTAGATAATTATCTATTCAAGTCCTTTGCCTATTTAAAACATTGAACCATCAATTATTTGTTGTTGTTGAGTTGCTGGAGTTCTTTATTCTATTATACATATTATATCCACATATACCAATGTCATATCACATATGTGATTTGCAGACATCTTCTCCCATTCTTTGAGTTGTTGTTCCACTGTCCTGAGGGTGACTATTTTTTTTTTTTTGAGACGGAGTCTCGCTCTGTGGTCCAGGCTGAAGTGCAGTGGCACAATCTCAGCTCACTGCAACCTCTGCCTCCCAGCTTCAAGTGATTCTTTTGCCTCAGCCTCCCAAGTAGCTGGGATTACAGGTGCACACCACCATGCCCAGCTAATTTTTGTATTTTTAGTAGAAATGGGGTTTCACCATATTGGCCAGGCTGATCTCGAACTCCAGACCTTGTGATCCACCCGCCTCAGCCTCCCAAAGTGCTGGGGTTACAGGCGTGAGCCACCACACCTGGCCACCCGTGACTTTTAATGCACAGAACTTTTACTTTTGATGAAACTAATTTCTTTGTTATTTTCTTCATTCCCTGTACCTTTGATGTCACATCTAAGAAATCATTGCTAAATCTAACATAAAGAAAATTTTCTCCTATTTTTTTCTAAGAGTTTAAGGGTTGTAGGTGTTACTTTTAAGTCTTTGATCTATTTTAGTTTATTTTTGTATATTATGTAAGTTAAGGGCCCAAACTTTATATTTTGCCTGTGGATATCCAATTTTCCCAGTACTCTTTGTTGTTATTAATCAATTTTGCTTCTTTTTTTTTTTTTTTTGAGATGGAGTTTCACTCTGTCACCCAGGCTGGAGTGCAGTGGTGCAATATTGGATCACTGCAAGCTCCGCCTCCTGGGTTCATGCCATTCTCCTACCTCAGCGTCCTGAGTATCTGGGACTACAGGCCACCACGCCCGGCTAATTTTGGTTTTGTATTTTTAGTAGAGACCGGGTTTCACCGTGTTAGTCAGGATGGCCTCGATTTCCTGACCTTGTGATCTGCCCACCTCAGCCTCCCAAAGTGCTGGGATTACAGCTGTGAGCCACCGCTCCTGGCCCAGTTTTGCTTCTAACATAGTTGTCTTATTCTAACATTTCTTGTTTTGGGGAAAAAAATCTGTAATTACTTTTTTTTTGCTTGTTCTTGGAACCAGCTTTCCCACCTACTGATTTCCTCAGGAATAAGTGAAATAAATTTTGAGAGAGGTTTATTTTGTATTTGTATAAGAGTTTTATTATTAAGCTCATTATTCAGTTTTATTATTAAGCAGAGAAAATTATACTCTGGCCATGCAAATATCCAGTGTATTACTTTCAGAATGTCCTGATTTTTTCTCTTGCTATAAAGAAGACAGGGAATTTACAGTAATACATCTGAGTGTTAGAGTCAGGCAGCCATTGTCAATTGGTGCATCAGAACTGTACATAGATTTTGAAACAAAGAACAGTTACAATGACAATTTCTTATAGACAGAGAATGTAAGCCTATGCTTTATTTGCTCCTCTCCCAATGAACATAACTAGGCCTATTTTTTATCCTGATACTTCTCTAAAGGGGCCTTTAATTTGTTCTGTGACAGATAACTTGATGGATCAAGTGGGTTAAAACTAAAATAATAATGTGAAACACCCAGTTATGTCCTTGTAAGCATTATATGTTGACATTTGCAGTAGGCTTTCATGAAATGATTTAAGGCTTTGAGACCCTGGAACAAACTTAGAACCACTATATTAATAGTGGCTACAAACTATTATTAGCCAGAAGGGTTTTGAAAGATTATGTTGATTTCTTAGATATATTTGTGTCAGAGAGGCAACTGCAAGTTAATCTCTACTCTCAGTGAAAGGCTTAATGTGGACATCTATAAAATCCCCAGTGGTCATAACTTGCAGGAATCTCTCCAGAGGGACAGCATCATACCCAGTAGGGTGACATTAATTTCCTCAGGACAGATCAGCAATTAAAAAAAAAGACAGAACTAGGCTTGCATCAACTTCTCCCTTAAAATTGTATTTCTCCTCTAAATGAAAGCACATTTTTAAGAAAGAAAGATGTGTAAGATATAGAAATATTAAAGTAAGGGCTACAGTACATATAATACAAAGCAAATGAAGAGAGGCGGCTAAATATCAAAGTTGTGGGTGGTGAGTTATACTCAGCCACTTCATTTGACAGTTTAAGAAGTCAGATCTAAGTCAAAAGAAGTAACTTCTATCTCTTTGGAAGTGAAGATGGTATCAGTGTTCTCTAGATGTTTAAAATATTTTAAGACATCTGTTCACATAAAAATTGTTAATCATCTTGCTTGCTATGGGCTTTTTAAAAAGAATTAAGGGCTACTCCTTTTAGTTAACATGTAACTCTCTACATTGAAAAAATCCAATTGTAAATTGACTTGCTATCCTTTCCTGCAATACAAACATTAGCCCCAAATGCAAAAGTGGCATGGATTCAGAGTAAATTAAGTGAAAATATGAAGGGGTGGCCAGCCCCTCCACATCTGTGGGTATTTCTAGTCAGGTGGGATGAGAGACTGAGAAAAGAAATAAGACACAGAGTCAAAGTTTAGAGAAAGAAAAGTGGGCCCAGGGGACTGGCACTCAGCATACCAAGGATGTGCACCAGCACCAGACTCTGAGCTCCCTCAGTTTTTATTGAATATTATTTTCATTATCTCAGCAAGAGGAATGCGGTAGGAGAGCAGGGTGATAACAGGGAGAAGGTCAGCAAAAAAACATGTGAGCAGAAGAATCTGTGTCATAATTAAGTTCAAGGGGAGGTACTATGCCTGGATGTGCACGTAGGCCAGATTTATGTTTCTCTGCCCAAACATCTCAGTGGAGTAAAGAACAATAAAGCAGCATTGCTGCCAACATGTCTTGCCTCCCGCCATAGGGTGGTTTTTCTCCTATCTCAGAATTGAACAAATGTAAAATCGGGTATTATACTGAGACATTCAGTTCCCTGGGGCAGACAGGAGACAGCGGCCTTCCTCTATCTCAACTGCAAGAGGCTTTCCTGTTTTACTAATCCACCTCAGCACAGACCCTTTACGGGTGTTGGGCTGGGGGATGGTCAGGTCTTTCTCATCCCATGAGGCCATATTTCAGACTATCACATGGGGAGAAAACTTGGACAATACCCGGCTTTCCAGGGCAGAGGTCCCTGCGGCTTTCTGCAGTGCATTGTGCCCCTGGTTTATCGAGACTAGAGAATGGCGATGACTTTTACCAAGCATACTGCTTGTAAACATTTTGTTAACAAGGCACATCCTGCACAGCCCTAGATCCCTTAAATCTTGATTCCATACAACACATGTTTTTGTGATCTCAAGGTGGGGGCAAAGAGGTTGGGGCAAAGTGATTGGGGCATAGTTACAGATTAACAGCATCTCAGGGCAAAGCAATTGTTCAAAGTATAGGTCAAAATGGAATTTCTTATGTCTTCCCTTTCTACATAGACAAATAACAGTCTGATCTCTCTTCCTTTTCCCTACAAAATAGAAATGATCATTAGCAACAGAAGAAAACTAAAACGAATAACATATTTTTTTAAAGTAACATATTGGCTAGGCATAGTGGCTCATGTCTGTAATCCCAGCATTTTGGCAGGTGGAGGCGGGCAGATCACTTGAGGTCAGGAGTTCAAGATCAGCCTGGTCAACATGGTGAAACCTCACCTCTATTAAAAATACAAAAAAATGGGCTGGGCACCTTGGTTCATGCCTATAATTCCAGCACTTTGGGAGGCTGAGGCGGGTAGATCAGGAGGTCAGGAGTTCAAGACCAGCCTGATCAACGTGGTGAAACCCTGTCTCTACTAAAAATACAAAAATTAGCCAGGCATGGTGGCACATGCCTGTAATCTCAGCTACTCAAGAGGCTTAGGCAGAAGAATTGCTTGAACCTGGGAGGTGGATAGCCGGGCATGGTGGCACGTGCCTGTAATCCCAACTACTCAGGAGGCTGAGGCAGGAGAATCACTTGAACCTGGGAAGCGGAGGTTGCAGTGAGCCGAGGTTGTGCCATTGTACTCCAGCCTGGGCGATAGAGCAAGACTCTGTCTTCAAAAAAAGAAAAAAGACAAAAACAAAAAAAAAAAGCCGGGTGTGGCTGGTGCCTGCCTGTGATCCCAAATACTCAGAAGGCTGAGGCAGGAGAATAGCTTGAATCTAGGAGACTGAGGTTGCAGTGAGTCAAGATGGCACCACTGCATTTCAGTCTGGGGGACAGAGTTAGGCTCTGTTAAAAAAAAAAAAAAGAAATGCAGCAGTGTATTATGCTTATGCTTAGGATTTAGGCTGAACTACCATTTAAAATATATTGTATCCTTTCACTCTTCCTTTCCTAAGATTCCACATAGATATTGTAGAGAAGTCCAAACTCAACAACATTTGTTTACATTACTAAGGTCTTTAAAATTTTAAATAGATTTAAGTATTTACCTTAACCAACACTAAATGCATAGAGACTTGTCTCCACAGAAAATGAGCTTAATCCATATTTTTCTCAAACACTTGCCAAAACCTTAAACTTAAACCCATTTTCAATGCAAGTAGTGGCTAACTTTTTTTGTGCATATCTTTTTGCCTTTTTGCCATTTCCTTAGCCAGATGTGCCTATTTTTTTTTTTTTTGAGATGGAATTTCCCTTGGTCACCCAGGCTGGAGTGCAATGGCACATCCTCGTCTCACTGCAACCTCAGTCTCCTGGGTTCAAGCGATTCTCCTGCCTCAGCCTCCTGAGTAGCTGGGACTACAAATGTGCACCACCATGCCCAGCTAATTTTTGTATTTTTAGTAGAGACAGAGTTTCACCATGTTGGACAGGATGGTTTTGATATCTAGATCTCGTTATCTGCCCACCTCGGCCTCCCAAACTGCTGACATTACAGGCCTGAGCCACTGTCCCCAGTTGTGTCTATATTTTTAAAAGATTAAAGGTTTTTCCAAAATAAAGAGAAACTACAGGATTTTGTTCTGAGATTCAGTCAAGACCTGGTAAGACAGATAATTCAGAGCAAGCTTTGATCTTATCAATGTTTATATCAGCTGAAAGAAACACTCGCACACTCAGAGTCTTTCCTAGTGATTAAAGAATTTAATTTTCATTCACAATTCACAGTAAGGAATTGTTGTCAGAAAATACTGGATTTCAATATAGCATTTTCTCCTTTTTTGTTGTTTTAATGGCATAATATGCTATGTGTGAAGTCAACATGAGGAGAGACAAAAAGAACAAGTTTATAAATGTGGTTATATTGACCCCTAACTTAGGAAAAAATGACAATATTGACATTAAAATTTGCATTGTTTGCCTCTGGCTTTCATGGGAATTTTTTTGTTTGTTTGTTTGTTTTTGTTTGTTTTTTTGTTTTTTACACTTGGTATGCCATTTTTAATGTTACTTATAAGTAGCATTAGAATTGTATGGGAGCTTTTGTTTCTTTTGTTTTGGAGGATGTGATTCTTAAAATGAAATTAATTTTTTTAGAACTTAAAATATATCAAGGCAAGGACATTTCTAAGAGTAATACTGGAAAAGAACAGTTAATCGATGAATTCACCAGTAAGTTTAAGTCAATTTAAAATTAACTTAGCACATTATATGTTCATAGCACTCTGTGGACCAGTAGGGAATACAAAAATGAAAAAAATCCTGACACTGTTTTATCAGTGAAAAGAGACAGTTCATTAACTTACTAAGATGTATGGCAGAGTAATGTATGTGCTAAATTATGACATATACAATAAAGTCTGCGGGAACCAAAGGATATGTCAATGAGTTTCAATAAAGGTTCAGGTACATCTTCAGAGAGGACAGAACAGTGGAATTTTTTAACTTAAATTTTATGGGGGATGGTAGGAAATTCCAGGTGGCCAGATGGTTTGACTAAATGCATGGTAGTTAGAATGTGTTGGCTCTATTCATGAAACAATGAATTCCATATGTCTGGGACATTAGGTACTGATGTGAACATGGAAGAAAATAGTGGGGGCAAAGGAGAAAAAGGAGAAATGGGAATTTCTGTCTGCATCATGCCAAGCATTATAATTTTACTTTCTAGACCAAGAAGATATTTTTATGTTTTTTTTGAGCAGACAAGTGACAAAGTGAGATATTTATGCTTTAGAAAGTTTAGTTGTATCAAAATGTAGAAAATGTTTTAAGAAATAAGAAATAAAGACTGTATGGCAAACTTTGAGATATTTTAAAAATAGGCTAAATTAAGAGCCTAAACTAGAAAAATATTTTTCTAAGAGAAATAATGTGTTGGTACTATTAAACATGATAGGGGAAAATTGATGGGAATCAGTGACTAATTAAACATGAGATGTAAAGAAATGAAATAATTTGATAGAATTCTGAGGTTTTAAGCCTGGGTAACTGGGAGAATGGTGATGCATTCTGCAGAGGTAGGAAATGTTGAAGATACAACTGATTTTTGAATACTAGTAATTTTACAGTCATGCACCATGTCAATACATTTCAGTAAATGGTGGACCACATATTGGTCCTGTAGGATTTTAATGGAGCTGAAAAATTCCTGTTTCCTAGTGATGTCATTGTCAATGTAATATCATTGCACAATTCATTACTCACATGTCTGTGCTGATGCTGGTGAAAACAGACCTATTGTGCTGACAGGCCTCTAGCACATATAATTACTTACAGAACATAATACCTGATAATGATAATAAGTGATAATATTACTGGTTCATATATTTACTACTCTATTCTTTATATCTTTTTTTTTTTTTTTTTTTTTGAGATGGAGTCTCCCTCTGTTGCCCAGGCTGGAGTTGCAATGGTGTGATGTCGGTTCACTGCAACCTCCACCTCCCAGTTTCAAGTGATTTTTCTGCCTCAGCCTCCCAAGTAACTGGGACTACAGGTGCCCACCACTGCACCTGCCTAATTTTTGTATTTTTAGTAGAAACAGGGTTTCACCATGTTGGCTAGGCTGCTCTTGAACTGCCACCCTCAAGTGATCCTCCCGCCTCAGCCTCCCAAATTGCTTGCATTACAGGTTTGAGCCACCACACCTGGCCCTTTTTATCATGTTTTGAGAGGGTACTACTTATTAAAAAAGAAAAAGAAAACAACAGTAGAGCAATTTCAGGCAGGTCCTTCAGGAGGTATCCAGAAGGAGGGATTGTTATCATAGGAGATGTCAGCTTCATGTGTGTTATTGCCCCAAGGAACTTCCATTGAGACAGAATATGAAGGTGGAAGACAATGATGTTGATGATCCTGACCCTGTATAGGCCTAAACTAATGTGCGTGTTTGTGTTTGTTTTTATAAAAGAGTTAAAAAGTAACACAAAAATTAAAAATTGGAAAAAGCTTATAGACTTAGATATAAAGAAAATAATATTTTTTTAAAAAGTTGTACAATATGTTTATCTTTTAAGCTAAGAGTTGTGACAAAGGAGCCAAAAGGTTAAAAAAGTATATTAAATAAAAAAAATTACAGTAAGCTAAAGCTAATTTATTATTGATAAAAGAAAACAATTTAAAAATAAATTTGGCATAGCGTCTAAGTGTACATCCAGTACTGCTAAAGTCTACAACAGTGCCCGTAATGTCCTAGGCCTTCATATTCACTCACCACTCACTCACTTACCCAGAGCAACTTCCAGCTCTGCAAGCTCCATTCATGGTAAGTGCCCTCTACAAGTGTACCCTTTTTTTTTTTTTTACTGCAACTTTTCTATGATAAGATGCAAAATACCTACCACTGTGTTACAGTTGCCTGCAGTATTTAGTACAGTAACATGCTGTACAGATTTGTAGCCTAGGAGCAACAGGCTACATATACTCTATCATATACTCTAGCAGAGTAGTAGGCTATCCCATCTATGTTTGTGTAAGTACACTCTGAGATATTTGCACAATAACAAAACTGCCTAAAGATATATTTCTCCAAATTTATTCCATCATCAAGTGATTCATGCCTGTATGCACACATATGCAGGGGCATGCAGAGAGGGCAATTCCTGTGTCCCAGGCACTGCTTTATGCTTGATAAATCTGTTATTCACCCTCACTACAATCTTACCCAGAGACAGGCACCCTTATTTTCCCCATTTCACAAATAAATAAACTGAACACAGGTAATTTATGTAACTTGCCTAAGATCACATAACTAGAAAAGAGAGAAAAGAAATTTAAGCTGATTATAGAGCTCTTTCTATTAACGATTATGATATACTTTGTAATGTTATTTCTAGCTTTGATCATTTTATGAAGGAAAATAAAATAGATTAACAAAATTCAAAAATCTTTAACATAAAATTATAAAAGAACTTGATTAATGTTATAAAGTGAGGGATAGTCCAGGCGAGGTGGCTCATGGCTGTAATCCCAGCACTTTGGGAGGCTAAGGCAGGTGGATCATGAGGTCAGGAGATTGAGACCATCCTGGCTAACATGGTGAAACTCCATCTCTACTAAACATACAAAAAATTAGCCGGGCATGGTGGCGGGCACCTGTAGTCCCAGCTACTTGGGAGGCTGAGGCAGGAGAATTGCTTGAACCTGAGAGGCCGAAGTTGCAGTGAGCCAAAATCCTGCCACTGCACTCCAGCCTGGGTGACAGAGCAAGACTCCATCTCAAAAAAAGAAAAAAAAAATTTAAAAAAAATTAAAATGAGGGATAAATGGGGCTGGGCATGGTGGCTGATGCCTGTAATCTCAGCACTTTGGGAGGTCGATGTGGGCAGATTGCCTGAGCTCAGGAGTTTGAGACCAGCCTGGGCAACATGGTGAAACCCCGTCTCCATTAAAAATACAAAAATTAGCTGGGCATGGTGATGGGTGCCTGTGATCCCAGCTACCTGAGAGGCTGAGCATGAGAATCACTTGAACCCAGGAGGGAGAGGTCGTAGTGAGTCGAGATAACGCCACTGCACTGACAAAGGAAGACTCTGTTTCAAAAAAAAAAAGAAAGTGAGGGATAAATGCAGAGAAAGAAAAACAATCATAGAGATTCCCCTTAACTTCTACCACTAAAAGCAGACACACACACACACTCACTATAAGAAACAAGGTCAAAAGGAAAATGTCTTTACATATGAAGCCTTCCATTTACAGCTTAACTATCCCTGGAGGTCTCGTCTAAGGACAACCCTTTTAAAAAGCCATGGTGTGTAAATGAATATGTATTTTGTGTATATTCAGTATATTCAAGGTAAATAGTTGTTTTTATTAAAATAACAAGGGAAAAATAGTGGACCTTCATCTCTCATGAAGAACATGACAGGATGAACTGTTTAGGTCAAATTTTAAAAGACCAGGCTGGGTGCGGTGGCTCACACCTGTAATTCCAACACTTTGGGAGGCCAAGGCAGGCAGACCACCTGAGGTTGGGAGTTTGAGACCAGCCTGACCAACATGGAGAAACCCTGTCTCTACCAAAAATACAAAATTAGCCGGGCATGGTGGTGCATGCCTGTAATCCCAGCTACTCTGGAGGCTGAGGTAGGAGAGTGGCTTTAACCCGGGAGGTGGAGGAGGTTGCTGTGAGCTGAGATTGCACCACTGCATTCTAGCCTGGGCAACAGAGCAAGACTCCATCTCAAAAAAATAAATAAATAAAAAATAAAAAACAAAAAATAAAAAAATAAGAATTAGGAAGACCAATTTAATAATAAGGTAAGTTACAAAGAAAATTTGTAGGCCGGGCGCGGTTGCTCAAGCCTGTATCCCAGGACTTTTGGAGGCTGAGGTGGGCAGATCATGAGGTCAGGAGATCCATACCATCCTGTCTAACATGGTGAAAAACAGTCTCTACTAAAAACACAAAAAATTAGCCAGGTGTGGTGGTGGGTGCCTGTAGTCCCAGCTAATCGGGAGGCTGAGGCAGGAGAATGGCATGAACCCTGGAGGCAGAGCTTGCAGTGAGCCAAGACTGCACCACTGACTACAGCCTGGGCGACAGAGCAAGATTCCATCTCAAAAAAAAAAAAAAAGAAAATTTGTGAATTTGTATGCAGTTCACTTGCCTGACCCATAAATAAACATGAATGAGTAAAATGGAAGCTCAGCTTAATAATGAGCTATTGCACAATAGGAAGAAATAAGTTAGGGATGGATACAAATTGAAAGAAGGATAAATGCATGCTAACATCTTATCTTGATCTATAAGTCTAAAAACATCTTAAAAGACCAGATGATTAAAAAAAATAGTAACTTTAATTGTTAAAAATGATCATTTGGCCGGGCGCGGTGGCTCACGCCTGTAATCCCAGCACTTTGGAAGGCCGAGGCGGGCGGATCATGAGGTCAGGAGATCGAGACCATCCTGGCTAACAAGGTGAAACCCCGTCTCTACTAAAAATACAAAAAAAATTAGCCGGGCACGGTGGCGGGCGCCTGTAGTCCCAGCTACTCGGGAGGCTGAGGCAGGAGAATGGCGTGAACCCGGGAAGGGGAGCTTGCAGTGAGCCGAGATTGTGCCACTGCAGTCCGCAGTCCGGCCTGGGCGACAGAGCGAGACTCCGTCTCAAAAAAAAAAAAAAAAAAAATGATCATTTATTTTTCCTCAGGTGGTGGCTCAGTGTTCACTCTGAAAAATGAAAAATTGTCCATTTTTGTGAAAAAGTTCTACTGATATGTGAAGTTACCACATTTATTCATTGAATTATCTTCTTGAGTGAATGACATAGAACCCCGATAGATAAATTAGTATGTTAAAATTAAAAGATTATCTAATAAACAACTTTTCTGTTTTAATAAAATTGTATTTTGATATATTTGAAAGATTTTTATTGTAGTGAAAAATATATATAAAATAAAAAATAATGATGTTGGATAATATCATAAATGATTTCTAAGGTAGAAGGTTCTATTGTTTAGAAAAACATCCTTGAGAACCTTTTTTCATGAGGCACTAAATTCCTTGGTATAATAGGGTACCCTAGACAAAGTAGCTTGTTTTTTTTTTTCTTTTTTTTTGAGAGTCTTGCTCTGTCACCCAGGTTGGAGTGCAGTGGCACAAATCTCGGCTCTTTGTGACCTCTGCCTCCCAGGTTCAAGTGATTATCTTGCCTCAGCCTCTTGAGCAGCTGGGATTACAGACACACTCCATCATGCCCAGCTAATTTTTGTATTTGTAGTAGAGACAGGGTTTCACCATGTTGGTCAGGAGGTTTTGAACTCCTGACCTCGTGATCCGCCAGCTTTGGCCTCCCAAAGTGCTGAGATTACAGGCATGAATCACTGCGCCCGGCCACTTTTAGAATATTTAATGCTTCATAAATATGATGTAAAAAAGGGTGAGCTGTAACGTTAAGTAGTAACTAAGAGGAGTGCCAAGTTACCACCAGGCAGTTAGCAAGAGGGGGCAAGGCAGCCCCAGGTGTAGAATTAATAATGTGAGAGAGACTAGAAGTTCCAAGAAAATGGTAGGGTGGGGTGGAGAAATTCCTTCTGTTGAGAATAAATGAGGAGATTCAGGATAGTGGTGGCAATATATGCATGTATATATGTGTGTGTGTATATATGTGTATACGTGTATATATGTGTGTATGTATATATGTATATATATGTATATGTGTGTATATGTGCTTATATATGCATATATGTGTATATATATATGCATGTTTATGCATTTTGCTGCTCTTCTTGGGATGTAATTCTCCCTTATCTCCTCCTCATAGTGGTCTTGAATTAATGGTGCTTGGTGCTAAGGTGGGGGTGAAAGTGGAATGAGTCTCCTCACTAGAGGGAACTGAGTAGAGAAAACATGATCTGCTCTGGAGCACAGAGAAGAGGGCAGGCACCAACAGTAAGTGAGGAGAGGCCAAGCCCAACTAACCAAGAAACTCCCAGAAAATATGGAAGACTCTGAATGCTGTGAAGCACAGGGGATAAAGGAATCAAGATTTTTTTTTTTTTTTTGAGATGAAGTCTCACTCTGTTGCCCAAGATGAGTGCAGTGATGTGATCTTGGCTCACTGCAACCTCTGCCTCCTGGGTTCAAGCTATTCTCCTTCCTTACCCTCCTGAGTAGCTTGGATTACAGGCACTTGCCACCATGCCTGGCTAATTTTTTTGTGTCTGCGATAATATTTTGTCTTCAGCAAAATTCTATTATTGACCTTAATACATAGAACCTTATTTGTCTGCATGTCTGGTTTGTGAGCAGAGATTATTTTGAGTCCTCAAAACCTAGAGCAGTGCAGTTGTAAAAGGCTTTGACTGAAGTCTTAACAAATATTTGCTAAACTGAATTTTGTAGAAATGTTCCAGACTTTAGCATGGAATTTACAATTCACACATTCTTGTTATATTCAAATAATAAACTTTACTGAGTAAGCAGAATTTAATATTAACAAGAAAACAGTGAAATAATGTATGGATTAATTCTGAATTGCAAATTTAACTTTAATGTTAAAAGTTTCCATAAGTTATCTCCAAGCCTGGAAATAAATCCGAAATTGGTCTTAGTTATATAATTGTAAAATGCATATTCATATGAAGAACGAAACGCATCATCCTATATCTTCCCTTTTTTTTTCTGATTTTGTGGCTTGGATTTGTTTTTACCAAAATTCAGGGATTCCCCCCTAATCCCAATGAGAATAATGTCTTAAATAAATGGAATTAAGAAGCTTCAAAATTCTTTTTTTTTTTTTTTTTTTTTTTTTTTTTTTTTTTTTTTTTTTTGAGATGGAGTCTAACTCTGTCACCCAGGCTGGAGTGCAGTGGTGCAATCTCAGCTCATGCAATTTCCACCTCCCCAGATCAAGGGATTTTCTTGCCTCAGCCTCCCGAGTAGCTGGGACTACAGGTGCGTGCCACCATGCTCGGCTAAATTTTTGTATTTTTAGTAGAGATGGGGTTTCACCATGTTGGCCAGGATGGACTCGATCTCCTGACCTCGTGATCCACGTGCCTCAGCCTCCCAAAGTGCTGGGATTACAGGCGTGAGTCACCACACCTGGCCCAAAACTCTTTAAAGTACTCAACCTATCATAAGACTAGTAGGTGTTTCTCAACTCTCCTTCTCAAAACATGAGATCATGAGGTCTTAATGCTGAAGATTATTGATTATTTTATGTAGAGAACATGGAAGAAAGCTGGACTGTGCTCTGGCTCAATCAGCTCCACTTGCACACCTCTCAGCAATTCTCAATTCTCACCACCAGAGAGAAGAAGGCAATCCCTACCTGACCATCACCTGGCCTGGCTACCTTATCTGTCTAAACAGTGCATTGCAGGAGCCCCTTTCCTTTCTGTGCTGTTTTATTTTTTCTCCTCCAGCACTATTTTTCTAATTAGAATAATTGAAGAGAAATACAAGATTTTCATGGAATGAAAGCAAAAGTCTTCCAAGTATGAGAAAAATAGAACAAAGGCTGTTTATATCCATATTGATTATAGTGGGAAGGTATTGTTGTAATAAATGTGATGGTTATTAAAGCAAGTCTTGATTTTAAGGAAATGTTTTATCTTGGGACTGTGACAGGAGATTATGTGATGTTCATGAGATGATCATACTGTCTCTGTCCAGGTCTCTGTAACATGTAGAACACAACCAAGGTAGAGGTTCAGTCCCATTTCATTTACAGAAACAGCTTGTTCCTCAGTAGTATTCTATATATAAAAAGTAAACACACACACTATAGTTCATAGAGAATACATTCACATGGATTACTAGGAAAACTAAAGTATCCTTTAAAAATAATTTAAAAAGAGCCAGGTGCAGTAGCTCATGCCTGTAATCCCAGTACTTTAGGAGGCTGAGGATGGATCACTTGAGGTCAGGAGTTCAAGACCAGCCTAGCCAACATGGTAAAACTCCATGTTTACTAAAAACACAAAAATTAGCCAGGTGTGGTGGCATGCTACTCTAATCCCACCTGCCTGGGAGGCTGAAGAAGGAGAATCACCTGAACCTGGGAGGCAGAGATTGCAGTGAGCCAACATCATGCCAGTGCACACCAGCCTGGGTGACAGAGCAAGATGTTGTCTCAAACAAAAAATAAAGAAATAAAAATAAAAATAATAAAAAAGGCATTCTTCTCAAAAAACTATATTTCTATTAGATATTTTTTATCTCAAAACATAAAAGGTAAGTTTTGAAATAACTAATAGTTAATAAGAAAAACATGTAAATAGTATGTAACTAGAATTGTTAATTTCTTGAAACTTAAGGTTTGTTTTTATGTTATGTTAGCAGGATATGTAAATCTAATGACATTCAAAAAACATAAAGTGAGAAAAAAAGAGGCTGGTATTGCACATGCATGTATTTACTATATTCTAATAATGGTCAAGTTGTTTAATTGCTTCATGAATATCTAGGCTTCATTATAAGTCTTCAGCTAAAATTTTGCCCATTTTGGTGAAGGAACTGTGTGTGTCACATAAGGAGAGCTTAATGTTAGTATTTACCACAGCCTTACTAATATAATCCTATAATATTGTTCTCCATGTTCCCAAAATTAAAAAGTAGTCTAATTCTACATATGAACTCAAAATAAATGTATACTGTTATGTGTTATGTGGCATAACTCAAAATAATTAGAACTAAACACAGCTCTTATTTTCTCACACATACTGAGTATGGAATTACTATTATTTTTGTTTCCTTGAACAGAGGTAGGTGAAACTTGATAATATAGTCACTGACTGAAGGGCATTGTTTTGCCAAAGTTCGTTAAGTTAAAAAATATTTTGGATCAATAAATGTCTTTCATTAAAATATTCACCTACATAAAATAAGTATTCAGAATTGCATAGGACATATGAATGTCATCTTTCTTTTGCTGTTCATTTACCCAACATTTTTCTTCTTTATATATATGCCAGGTTGAAAATTGTCATCCCATACTCTTTTCAGCTAAGAATATTTCTGTGTTGGGAATATCTTGAATTTCCCTCAAGGGTTGATGATATTGCCCACAAAGACTTTAGGCAATTTTGATGGCCAGAATGAAAACAGGCAGCTAAGATATTTATTTTTAAAAGAAAAGAATAGAAAACTTTGTATTCTAATCATGCATCGTAGGAAGTATTTTTTTTTTTTTTTTTTTTTTTTTTTTTTTTTTGAGAGACGGAGTCTTGTTCTGTAGAGCAGGCTGGAGTGGAGTGGCGTGATCTCGGCTTGCTGTAACTTCCGCCTCCCGGGATCAAGCGATTCTCTTGTCTCAGCCTCTGGGAGTAGCTAGGATTACAGACATGCGCCAACATGCCCAGCTAATTTTTGTAGTTTTAGTAGAGATGGGGTTTAGCCAAGTTGGCCAGCCTTCCTCAAGCGATTCTCTTGCCTCAGACTCCCAAGTAGCTGGGACCACAGGCGCCCGCCACTATGCCCGGCTAATTTTTTGTATTTTTAGTACAGGTTGGTTTTCACCGTGTTAGCAAGGATGGTCTCGATCTCTTAACCTCGTGATGAGCCCACCTCGGCCTCCCAAAGTGCTGGGATTACAGATGTGAGCCACGCCCCACTCTGGAAGTAATTATTAATAATGTTGTTTCTCCTTCCAGTTCTTCAGTTTGTTAAGCGCAACTGTGGAAAACATTTATTTGTCCCGGGAGATTATAGGAAAAAATTAAGTGAATCTACTTAAACATAAAATTCCCAGTTTTAGAATAGATTCTTTTTTTTTTTTTTTTTTTTTGAGATGGAGTTTTGCTCTTGTCGCACAGGCTGGAGTGCAATGGCACAATCTGAGCTCATTGCAACCTCTGTCTCCCGGGTTCAAGTGATTCTCCTGCCTCAGCCTCCCAAGTAGCTGGGATTACAGGTGCCTGCCACCATGCCCAGCTAATTTCTGTATTCTTTTTTTGCAGACCATGTTGGCCTGGCTGGTCTCGAAATAACCTCAGGTGATCCGCCTACCTCGGCCTCCCAAAGTGCTGGGATTACAGGCTTGAGCCACCGTGCCCGGCCAGATTCAGATTTTTATTAGGGATGTCATTTAGCTAATTTAATGTATTTCTATGCCATAGTTCATATTTTCTGTGCTGTAAGTATTTTCTATATGTCTGATTTATGTTGGAGAATAGTATCTCTTTAGATGCAGGGGCATACTGTGAGCATCTACACCATGGCAAATGGCTTTGCATTTTGCACTCTATACCATTGCCAAAAAAAGGTTTGATTATGCTACTAAAAATCCGACATGAATCAGTGAACACCAAAAGCCAATAATTTTAGAATCTCAAAATAGTGGAATAGTTAGAATTGTGATATTTTCAGTTTATTTTCTCCATCAATTTTCATTAGAAAGCGAGTAAGGAAAGTGGTAGAATTTAGGAGTTAAAAAATCAAATTAGCGGGCAGGGCTTGGTGGCTCACGCCTATAATCCCAGCACTTTGGGAGGCTGAGGTGGGCGGATCATGAGATCAGCAGATCGAGATCATCCTGGCTAACAGGGTGAAACCCTGTCTCCACTGAAAATACAAAAAATTAGCTGGGCATGGTGGCAGGTGTCTGTAATCCCAGCTACCCAGTAGGTTGAGGCAGGAGAATGGCGTGAACCCGGGAGGTGGAGCTTGTAGTGAGCCAAGATCACGTCACTGCACTCCAGCCTGGGCGATAGAGCGAGCCTCTGTCTCAAACAACAACAACAACAACAAACAAATTAACACCTTGCTTATTATAATAAAGAACTAAAATAATCCAATACCTGTAACCTAGAGAATAAGGTTCACATAACTTAAAATGGCAATATATATAAAAGAAAAGATTGGTTCTACTACATACATCAGGCTTATTAAGTCACACTAGACAACTGAGGTTGCCTAAGACGTCATTGTCCTGGACTTGCAAGGGCCTCCAACTCCAGTTAAGGTGATAAGAAAAAATGAAAACGAGCAACCTAGCAATTTTCACAGGCCTCAGGAAACTGGGGCCACATCGAACCCAGTCACAGGTTATACCAATTTGATTTACAACAAGGAAAGAACCATCTACTTATACTTGAGTTACAGCACATCCCTTTGTAGACATCCATACAATAGAAAGCTCCAGCAGTTGATTCACAGTAGAACAAAGTGTTTGTGTCAAGCAAAGGAAATTCTGCACTTAGATGAAATTTTATCAGCACATTTAATTAAAAGATGGTGTAGGTAGGCATAAGTAAGAAAACCATAAGCAGACATAGTCAACATACTAGGTAAGTAAAACCAAATACAGAAGGTTGTATTTAGTAATATTCATTTCAGATTTCCTTGGATAATTGTGGTTTGCCTTACATCTTTTGACTATGACACAGAGATTTTATTAACTTTTTAAAATATCTCCTAGAATGTAGCTTGAGTCAGTCAAACAGGAAAACATATTGCAGCATTCTCTCTTTTACCTCCCCCAAAGCACTGTAATATGGCTTTTGGAAATATTTCCTCATTGTCCTTTAGTTTTTGGAATGATGTCTGAGATACTGCTGTATGTAAATACAATGATATTCCATATTTCCTATCAGTTTGCCTATTCAGAAAGCTGCATTTACATACATGCTGAAACACAATCGCTGGTGATGTATCAACCAGAAATTTTATGTGTGAGCCTAAAAGGAAGTGTTAAGTCTTCCTCTACTTAAATAATTAGAAATTAAAAGTACCTCTTCTGCATTCTACAGTTTATATAATATTAAAAGAAGGAATTTTGGTAAAATAACTGAGGTTATCAGTTCAGTTCAATTTATAAATTTAGTGACATCAACTTGTCCCAGCAAAATAATCAGTGGATACTCCATAATCACCACTGTTTCTGTTTTCAAGGGGAGAGAAAAACAAATAAATTAATTGTATTATATGTTACAATCTTGGGTAAATTCTTTTCTAAATTGGTGGGTATAGCACAGCAAATCAAAGGTTGATAACATAAAATAGTGGACTAAACTTCAGCTCTAAAAAGTTAACAAATCTTAAAGTCTGCTTGCTCAGTTGTAAAATGGGGATAATATTCTCACCTTTGAGTATCTCACACAGTTGCTGTAGGATTTATTTGAGAAAAAATATGCGTAAAGATGCTTTGGAAATTATAAAACTGCATCCTAATACAGAGTAAAATTATAAAATTTGATTTGAATGATACCAACTAGTTGGGGATAAAATATTTTACATAAGAACTCCCTGAAAAAGGCAATCATGTGTCATGTTATGTTTGTCATCAAGGATGACAAGGTTTCAATTTGCCTAGGTCAGAAATGCTGCGGTTCTATTCCCTCAACAACTAGTTACTTCTGCTTCGAGTACATGTTTTCCAAAAGCTAGAAAACACCCATCAAAAGGCTACTTTCCAAACATAAAAAACAGGTTTACTTCAACACATTATGTCTGTAGGAAGAGTCAAATGAAACAAAACTACTGAATCATTTCCAGGATAGAGTCATAGTATCCAAAATTTGGAACAGAATTGGATGATAGTTGTAGGTCAAGTCCCTTTGCAGGTATAAATCCCCCCTTTAAAGTGGAAAAGTATACAAATTGTGTAATATAGGTTTACATTATAGACTATACATGACTGGAATTTCAGAGGCATGTATGCAATATGAGTTTAGCATGGAGAAATAGCCAACTGGGTAAACATAATTGATCCATGCTGCTATGAAAGATAATCAAAGCTAAGTTGATTGCCAGTTACACATTTAGATCTTTTATGCAGTGAATTATGATAAGCAGATGCAGATTTTTTTGTTTCAGGCATTTCCCTTAAAAACTATCCTACATAAGGAAATTTCCTTTATGAATATGCCAGTTACTGTGTCTATTACAGGTCTTCCAAAACATACTATTGTAGGATTTGTGAATAAATATAATGGATGGAAGCAAATTAATGTTTTAGAATCTAATAAATTTTAAAAGTCAACTTAACTGAGGTTTACTTTCAATACAATAAAATACATCCAAATTAAGTACAAACATATAAAGTTATGTGGCTACCACCAATGAAGATATTGAAGCTGTCTATCACCTCAAAAGTTCTTTTGTACTCCTTACCAAAACCTCTGGCTCCAAGCAGCCATTGATCTGCAAACTTCCACTATAAATTCAGTTTCTAGAATTTTGTAATAATAAACTTTTATAATATGCCTACTGTTATTTCATTCTCTCAATATATTTTAGGATCACCTATGTTGCAAAATCAGTGGTTCTTTCTATTTTATTCTATTGTATGGAAATACTACAATATGTTTATCCTTTAGCCTCTTGGTGAACCATTTACAAATGTTTCTATTCCTTGATTATCACAAGTAAAGCTGCTATGTTCATTTGTATGCACATGTTTTCATTTCTCTTGAGTAAGTAAGAATGGAATAGTCTAGGTCAAATTGTAAGTGTATGTTTAACTGCCAAACTGCAATCCAAACTGATTATCCACTTTATAGTCCCACCTAAATATGATAATTCAGGGTGTTGTATGTCCTCTCAAACATTCAGAATTGACATTTTTTGGATCCATTATAGTTTCTGTGCAGTGTTATTGCATTTTGATTTTTAAGTTCCATTCCCAGGTGGTTAATGATGCATTTTTCAGTGTTTATCAATCATTCATATATCTTTGGTTATTGTCGTCTACTCAAATATCTTGCCCATTTTGTTATTGTGTTGTTTGACTTCTCACTATGGAGTTTGATTTTTTTTTTTTTTTTTTTTTGGAGATGGATTCTTGCTCTGTCACCCAGGCTGGAGTGCAGTGGCAAGATCTCGGCTCACTGCAAGCTCTGCCTCCTGGGTTCACGCCATTATCCTGCCTCAGCCTCCTGAGTAGCTGGGACTACAGGCTCCCACCACCACGCCTGGCTATTTTTTTTTTTTGTATATTTTTAGTAGAGACGGGGTTTCACCGTGTTAGCCAGGATTGTCTCGATCTCCTGACCTTGTGATTCAGCCACCTTGGCCTTCCAAAGTGCTGGAAATAGAGGTGGAGTTTGATATTTTTTTCTACATGTCCAGTAAAGTCTTTTGTAAAATTCTTTTTCTTTCTCTCTTTGACCATATCTATATCTATCCATCTATATCTATACAGTTATAAAAATACAAACTCATAAAACTCAAGAAACCCTAAGCAACATAACACAAGTAAGCCACAAGACAAGTCAGGGAGCTAGGAAGACCACAGGGTTTGAAGAGTACAGGGCAGGACAGGGCTCCACAGCATGTCCAGGCTCCATTGTGAACAGCCCTGCAGCTTGGGTCATATGACCTTGCAGGACCTGTATTCTTGCAGATGTCAATGGTGGTCGCAGTGTGGCACACATGGCAATTCTCAGTGAAAGAATTACAACACCAGCTCCTGGGATTCTGAAACAAAGCCATGCCCTCCATAGCAGAGAATTATATGTTGGACCTAGGAGAGATGCTGTGCTTGATAAGTTACCATGCTTCTGGTGCTACCTCTTGCAGGCTGAGTTCTATTGGAACCACCGAGTCATGACACCAGAAGGGAAAAGAAGTAGTTCATCATGAGGTGGAAATAGTAAATATAAGACAAAGGCCAAGCAAGATGAGAGCAAGTGGATAAGTTGAATAGCAGGTAACCCAGATCCTCATGTCACCCACCATGTTTCCACCAGCAACCTTCCTTCAGCTCACACCTGTGACTGCATTTGTGTCCCTGTGGCCATCTGAAGGAGGGAGAAAGGGGCAATCTCTGTTTAAAGGTGTAGTTGCATTGCAGCCCAATGCAAGAATGACTCTGAAAGACAGAAGGAAATTAAAATATTCCCTATTAGCAGCACTGGGAGCAATGGCCCTGGCCATCTACTTTACATAGAAGAAGCATGGCCTAAGGCAGGAATATAAACAGATTTCTTTGCCGTAGTCAGTGGGTGAATCATCTTGTCAGAGGCTTAGATAGAAAAGAACTGAAATATCTGAGACAAGGAAGCTGGGTTAGAAGCATATGAGTGGACATGCAGGAGCAGGCATGGAGTGTAAAGAATCTTGTATTGCATGTTAACACTCACAAGAAAGCACTCACCAGAGAAGAGGCACTCAATAACCAATCAGACAAAATGACTTGACAAGCTGCCAGCCTTGGAGATTGGCTTTCCCACAACAAGCACAACAGTCACACATATGCAGTCACTCATATGACCATGTTAGCAGAGATGGACGATACATATGGGCCCCACAGCCTGGACTTCTATGTATCAAGGTTTATCTAACTACTGCTGCCTCTGACTGTCCTACTTTTCAACAGCATAAATCAATAATGAGACTCTTATATGGCAAGTCTTTTGACCTTGAATGACCAACTTTTCATCCTCAGAGGGATATATCCTTATTCCAGGGCTGGGTTTGGCACTTCTGTTCACAGAGCCTGAGCCAGGACCACTTTTCTGAGGCTTCCAGAATTCCTGATCCACAGGCATAAAATCCCACATGGTATAGCATTTGACCAGGTTTCCTTGTTCACAGCAAAGGATGGGCAGAAGTGGGTCCATGACCATGTGATCTACTATTTGTATTACATACACTCTTCAAGAAGCAGCTAGACTCATGGAGCCCTGGAGAAACATTCTAAAGATGCAACTGAGGCACTATGCTAAAGGAGACATTCTGAATGCAGGGGGCACCATCTTTTATACATATTCTATCACAGATCTTTATATAGTAGTTGTTCTTCCATAGGAAGAATCTACAGGTTCAGAAAACAAGAGGTAGAAACAGGAATGTCCCTAATTACAAATGCTCCCAATAATCTTCTCAGGTTTTCCTGTGCTTCTCATCACTGCAGCTCTGGGCTCTGGAAGGCAGGCAAGTCCTGCTCTCTAAAGAATGTTATCTGTTAGGTGCTTTAGATTCCTTAGGTCCAGTAACCAAAAGACAAGAAATACGTCACCACTGGGGCAGGATGAATACACCCTGATTAGTAGGAGGAGGCAGGGCTACTTTTCTACAAAAGAAGCAGAGATAATTTCTCTCTCTCTCTCACACACACACACACACACTCACACACACACACTCACACACACACACACACTCCCCATTCCCATACTCTCTCTCTCTCTTTCTCTCCCCCTCAAACAACTGGGCATTCAAAGGAAGTTCTGAGACCAACTGCTATAGCATGGGCAATAGTTGGTCTCATTAACCTTCCTTTTCTAAGATTCCCCTTGGAAAAGAGAGGATCATGGGAATTTTGGAAGAGCTGGTATGAAGAACCTGTTTGGACAAATATGTGTGTGCTGTGGTGGGGTTAGGAGGTGGGGGTAATGGATTTTAATGACCAAGGAAATTTGCAATGCAGATATCCTGAATCAGACAGCATAAGTCAGCGACAGCCTGGCTTTAGCCCTCTGTCTCTGGAAGCACTTCTACACTTGTGCAGCAGTCATGTTTCCAACGGTCATAGAGCTACATGGGGATTGTATGTGAGGACGTTTCTAGTGAGTTGTGAGAGTCTCCAATGAGTAACTTTAATTTAAGGAGTCCGCAGTGACCTAGGCCAAAGCATTCTTGGAACCATGCTGCAGTCTCTTTCTACTCCAATCAGCCTTCCTTCCCTCTTTCCCTCTACAGGTGTAAGATCTGCACCCTAGTCTGAAGACTCTACCCACCTTCTCCTGCTTCCTCCTTCTTCCCTCTTGCCAATTTAATTCCATGGTGGTGTTTGCCCTTAGCAGATCTAAACATTAATTCAAGTCATATGATCAGATAAGACGAAAAATGACTAAAAATGTCATTCATGACATGTGAGTGGTGAGCTCTGCCTGGCAGTAGGGAGGAGAGAATTCTGAGAGAAATTAATTTGGAAAAAATGATGCTGCACATCCCAGCAAATACCATCCCATCTTATCTCTGCTAGGAATATTTTTTGTAACATGCATATAATTCACTTTTGCTTTATGAAGTAAATTTATATTTTAAGAATACAGCAGCAATTTGAGTGCTGTTCACAGCTAGTGTGAACTGAAATTTGAGGTTGGCTATAGAAGAAGGCCAATGACAGACGGGTTAGTAGAACAAAATGGATATAAATAGGAAAAAGTGAAAAATCAGTAAGACAGTATGTTGGAAAGGAGTACAGTAGTTGGAAGAATTAATGATTCAATACTTCTATAAAGAGTCTCCATTTAGATGATTCAAAGAGTATCCATGAAGAAATGCACATTTTATTGAATATACAGAAGTGTGATTAGTGGTGAAGGAGGGTGAATTCTGTTTGTTATATGACTATAACCTGTAGAGAACTTCTCATTCAAGGTGAGTGTGCAAAAATATTACAAAACATGTGGAGAATTAACTATTAGAGAGATAATGAAATAATTATACAAAGAAACCTCCTAGAGATGAATTCACCACAACAAATATGAGAAATATTATAGCAAACTAAGTTTTCCTTTTAAGTGAGTACACTTAGAATTCTCAACTGGCTTTTTAAGAAGAAAACATCCAGGGCCAGGCATGGTGGCTGACGCCTGTAATCCCAGCACCTTGGGAGGCTGAGATGGGTAAATCATATGAGGTCGGGAGTTCAAGACCAGCCTGGCAAACACCGTGAAACCCCATCTCTACTAAAAATTCAAAAATTAGCAGGGCACGGTGGTGGGTGCATGTAATCCTAGTTACTCAAGAAGCTGAGGCAGAATAATTGCTTGACCTCAGGAGGCGGACTTTGTAGTGAGCCAAGATGGCATCACTGTACTCCAACCTGGGAAACAGAGTGAGCCTCTGCCAAAAAAAAAAAAAAGGAATAAAATTCATCAAAAAGAATAGAAGACTTAAAAATAAAAACAGACGCCAAGTGTGGTGGCTCACTCCTGTAATTCCAGCACTTTGGGAGGACGAGTTGGGTGGATCACGAGGTCAGGAGATGAAGACCATCCTGGCTAACACAGTGAAACCCTCTCTCTACTAAAAATACAAAAAAATTAGCCCAGCATGGTGGCGGGCACCTGTAGTCCCATCTACTCGGGAGGCTGGGGCAGGAGAATGGCATGAACCTGGGAGGCAGAGCTGGCAGCGAGCTGAGATCGCGCCACTGCACGCCAGCCTGGGAGACAGAGCTAGATTCCATCTCAAAAAAAAAAAAAAAGAAAAGAAAAAAATATAAATAAAAACAGGCAAAAAACCAGGCGTAATGGCTTACGCCTGTAATCCTAACACATTGGGAGGCCAAGGTGGGTGGATCACCTGAGGTCAGGACTTCAAGACCAACCTGGCCAACATGGCGAAACCATAGCTGGGAATGATGGCAGGTGCCTGCAATCCCAGCTACTCCAGAGGCTGAGGTAAGAGAATTGATAGAACCCTGGGGGATTGCAGTGAGCAGAGATCATGCCATTGCACTCTGGCTGGGGCAACAGAGTAAGAATCTGGGGAAAAAAAAAAGCAGGCAAAAAAGAACAAAGTAAAGATTGATATAAAAAATTAAAAGCAGCCAGGCGTGGTGGCTCACACCTGTAATCCCAGCACTTTGGTAGGCTGAGGCGGGTGGATCATGATATCAGGAGTTCTAGACCAGGCTGACCAACATAATGAAACCCCGTCTCTACTAAAAATTCAAAAATTAGCCGAGTGTGGTGGCACATGCCTGTAATTCCAGCCACTCAGGAGGCTGAAGCAGGAGAGGAGGCTGAGGCAGGAAGAGAGTCACTTGAACCCAGGAGTAGGAGGTTGCAGTGAACCGAGATCATGCCACTGCACTTCAGCCTGGGTGACAGAGCAAGACTCCATCTCAAAAAAGGAAAAAAAAAATAAAAGCACTAGAAATGAAAATTATATAAAAAAGAAGTGTAAATGCAATAAACACAAAGAATTAGTCAATTGGGAGATAATGATGAATTTATCCAGATAAAAGGATTTAAAAGTCAGAAAGACCAGTCAAGAAAGTCCCCAACACATGTATGATAGGAGTTTCAAAAGGAGTCCAAAGAGAATGGAGAAGCCATATTTAAGGACAGTATTCATCCACTCAGCACATTCTCACTAAGGGCCCACTTTGATGACGTTTCCATTCTAATGGTAGAGAATACTTATACACAAGAAAACACTGGCAATGCCTTCACTATTTGTATACTTTACACGATGCCATAAAATTTCCATTGCAGAGGAAAGACTTGAGGACTCTAATTTAAAGTATAAAACAAGTGCTGAGCAGAAGAAATAAAAATGAATCCATATCCAGACACATTGATGACTCTGAGTTTTAGTGTTTACAAAGCAGTTCTTTAAAATTAATTTTCAGTAAGAGGATGTGTATATCACCTTCACTGTTTTCCTTTTTGTTTTGATCTATTCCTCTTGCTTATTCCAGTTTGAAATGATTTCTTCAAAAAAAGTCTTAAAAGTCTTATCCATTTATGAATCGATTTATATATTTCATTTTCTAGATTATAATTTTTACTTTTCTGTTATTAATTTCCTTCCATTAGGTATGTTTTTTGATCCTGTATTTACTTACTGACATGAATGATTAACTCATTTATCTTCTCTGGCTTAGCAAAAAAAAATTGAAAATCTTGAAATTATATATGTTTCTTATTATCTTTCTTAATTATATTGTGTGTAGAGAGGTTTGTTAACTTTTCCAAAAAGTAGATTATTTATTTATAGGTTAGTTGTTTCTTCTTTTAGTAATTTCACTTGGAGGATAAATGTTAAAATTTGAAGCACAATAACTTTTGTTGACCTTTAAAAAGGTATATTTTTATTTGAAAGGTACAGTGTTGGATATTTTTACTAAAATAACATAATTATTTACACACCGTCTTATATAATTACCCTGTTTTAGTTCCTATGAACCTTATTATAAACCAGCAATATTTCTTCTGGCCTATGTATAAGCTTTTATTTTTATATTTAAATAAAGCTATTTAATGAAAGAAATACCATTGTGTATTTTTAAATTATAGACAGTAGATTTACTCAAATAAAAATTTCTTCTCTCTTCTAGTTGATAAACTTGTTTCTGATTTGCATTTCTCTAGTTTATATATCTACAATCACAGCAGTTTCCTATACTAATGTAATCATTTCTGCATACACTAAGGGTGTCTTATTTACAATATGACATGTAAAATATTTTAACAACAGTTATTGTTTTGCAATTGTATAGTTTTTATTATTTTCATTTTTCTTGTTGAAGATACTTATTCTCTCTTTTTCTCTTTCATAATTTACTATTTCTTTCTTTCTTTCTTTCTTTCTTTCTTTCTTTCTTTCTTTCTTCTTTTTTTGAGACAGAGTCTCCCTCTGTTGCCCAAGCTGGAGTGAAGTGGCGCTATCTCAGCTCACTGCAAGCTCTGCCTCCCGGGTTCACACCATTCTCCTGCCTCAGCTTCCTGAGTAGCTGGGACTACAGGCATCCACCACCATGCCCGCTAATTTTTTGCATCTTCAGTAGAGACGGGGTTTCACTGTGTTAGCCAGGATGGTCTCCATCTCCTGACTTCGTGATCTGCCCGTCTTGGCCTCCCAAAGTGCTGGGATCACAGGCATGAGCCACCGCGCCCAGTCTTTTTTTTTTTTTTTAGACAGTTTTTGCTCTATTGCCCCAGGCTGCAGTCCAGCAGTGAGATCTAGACTCACTTCAACTTCCACCTCCAGGTTCAAGTGATTTTCCTGCCTCAGCCTCCCGAGTAGCTGGGATTACAGGGGCCCACCACCATGCACAACTAATTTTTGTATTTTTAGTAGAGACGACGGTTCGCCATGTTGGCTAGGCTTGTCTCGAAATCCTGACCTCAGGTGATCCACACAGCTCGGCCTCCCAAAGTACTGGAATTACAGGCGCGAGCCACTGTGCCCAGCCCAGTCCTTGTATTTTTAAGGTTTCATTTGTGTATTTTCTTTAGGAAAATATTTCAATAATTTATCACTGCAATTAGCTGAAGTTATAAAATTACTTCTGGATTTGGGAAGATTATATCTGAGCATGGCAAAGGATTAGAAATAATAGCTAGCAGCTGGGTGCAGTGGCTCACACCTGTAATCCCAGCAACTTGGGAGGCCGAGGCGGGCAGATCAGAAGGTCAAGAGACATAGACCATTTTGGCCAACATGGTGAAACCCCATCTCTACTTAAAAAATAAAATTAAAAAAAAATTAGCTTGGCGTGGTGGTGCATGCCTGTAATCCTAGCTACTCAGGAGGCTGACAAGAGAATTGCTTGAACTCGGGAGGCAGAGGTTGCAATGAGCCAAGGTTGCACCACTGCACTGCAGCCTGGAGACACAGCAAGACTGTCTCAAATAAATAAATAAATAAATAAATAAATAAATAAATAAAAGCTAACTTTTTCTATCTGCCAGGCACAGTGCTAAATACTTTGCATGAAGATGATAATTTCGAAACTAAACACAGAAGAGCAAGTGTAAAATAAGTAATTTCTTTCTTTCTTTTCTTTTCTTTTTTTTATTTTTTGTTTCACACAGTCTAGCTCTGTGGTCCAAGCTGGAGTGCAGTGGTGGGATCTCGGCTCACTTCAACCTCCACCTCCTGAGTTCAAGCAAATCTCCTGCCTCAGCCTCATGAGTAGCTGGGATTACAGGAATCCACCACCACAGACGGCTAATTTTTTCTTTGTATACTTTTATTTAATTCGGCTTAGGTTACTTGTTTTTTAGTAGCAGTTTTGCATATATGGGATTGCTGTAAAAAATAAATGGTTTAAATATGTAGGATATTTAAAAGTCATTCTTTCTGCATTTGAGATTTTGAGCCTTTAAAGAGGGCAATATACGGGTAGAGACACAACCAAAAAAGAGAATTTCAGGCCAGTATCCTTGATGAACATTGATGCAAAAATCCTCAATAAAATACTAGCAAAACGAATCCAGCAGCACATCAAAAAGCTTATCCACCATGATCAAGTTGGCTTCATCCCAGGGATGCAAGGCTGGTTCAATATATGCAAATCAATAAATGTAATCCAGCATATAAACAGAACCAAAGACAAAAACCACATGATTATCTCAATAGATGCAGAAAAGGCCTTTGACAAAATTCAACAACCCTTCATGCTAAAAACTCTCAATAAATTAGGTATTGATGGGACGTATCTCAAAATAATAAGAGCTATCTATGACAAACCCACAGCCAATATCATACTGAATGGGCAAAAACTGGAAGCATTCCCTTTGAAAACTGGCACAAGACAGGGATGCCCTCTCTCACCGCTCCTATTCAACATAGTGTTGGAAGTTCTGGCCAGGGCAATTAGGCAGCAGAAGGAAATAAAGGGTATTCAATTAGGAAAAGAGGAAGTCAAATTGTCCCTGTTTGAAGATGACATGATTTTATATCTAGAAAACCCCACTGTCTCAGCCCAAAATCTCCTTAAACTGATAAGCAACTTCAGCAAAGTCTCAGAATACAAAATCAATGTACAAAAATCACAAGCATTCTTAAACACCAACAACAGACAAACAGAGAGCCAAATCATGAGTGAACTCCCATTTACAATTGCTTCAAAGAGAATAAAATACCTAGGAACCCAACTTACAAGGGATGTGAAGGACCTCTTCAAGGAGAACTACAAACCACTGCTCAAGGAAATAAAAGAGGATACAAACAAATGGAAGAACATTCCATGCTCATGGGTAGGAAGAATCAATATCGTGAAAATGGCCATACTGCCCAAGGTAATTTACACATTCAATGCCATCCCCATCAAGCTACCAATGACTTTCTTCACAGAATTGGAAAAAACTACTTTAAAGTTCATATGGAACCAAAAAAGAGCCCGCATCACCAAGTTAATCCTAAGCCAAAAGAACAATGCTGGAGGCATCACACTACCTGACTTCAAACTATACTACAAGGCTACAGTAACCAAAACAGCATGGTACTGGTACCAAAACAGAGATATAGATCAATGGAACAGAACAGAGCCCTCAGAAATAGCGCCACATATCCACAACTATCTGATCTTTGACAAACCTGAGAAAAACAAGCAATGGGGAAAGGATTCCCTATTTAATAAATGGTGCTGGGAAAACGGGCTAGCCATATGTAGAAAGCTGAAACTGGATCCCTTCCTTACACCTTACACAAAAATCAATTCAAGATGGATTAAAGACTTAAACGTTCAACCTAAAACCATAAAAACCCTAGAAGAAAACCTAGGCAGTACCATTCAGGACATAGGCATGGGCAAGGACTTCAGGTCTAAAACACCAAAAGCAATGGCAACAAAAGCCAAAATTGACAAATGGGATCTAATTAAATTCAAGAGCTTCTGCACAGCAAAAGAAACTACCATCAGAGTGAACAGGCAACCTACAACATGGGAGAAAATTTTTGCAACCTACTCATCTGACAAAGGGCTAATATCCAGAATCTACAATGAACTCAAACAAATTTACAAGAAAAAAACAAACAACCCCATCAAAAAGTGGGCGAAGGACATGAACAGACACTTCTCAAAAGAAGACATTTATGCAGCCAAAAAACACATGAAACAATGCTCACCATCGCTGGCCATCAGAGAAACGCAAATCAAAACCACAATGAGATACCATCTCACACCAGTTAGAATGACAATCATTAAAAAGACAGGAAACAACAGGTGCTGGAGACGATGTGGAGAAATAGGAACACTTTTACACTGTTGGTGGGACTGTAAACTAGTTCAACCATTGTGGAAGTCAGTGTGGCAATTCCTCAGGGATCTAGAACTAGAAATACCATTTGACCCAGCCATCCCATTACTGGGTATATACCCAAAGGATTATAAATCATGCTGCTATAAAGACACATGCACACATATGTTTATTGTGGCATTATTCACAATAGCAAAGACTTGGAACCAACCCAAATGTCCAACAATGATAGACTGGATTAAGAAATTGTGGCACATATACACCATGGAATACTATGCAGCCATAAAAAATGATGAGTTCATGTCCTTTGTAGGGACATGGATGAAATTGGAAATCATCATTCTCAGCAAACTATCGCAAGAACAAAAAACCAAACACCGCATATTCTCACTCATAGGTGGGAATTGAACAATGAGAACACATGGACACAGGAAGGGGAACATCACACTCTGTGGACTGTTGTGGGGTGGGGGAGGGGGGAGGGATAGCATTGGGAGATATTCCTAATGCTAGATGACGAGTTAGTGGGTGCAGTGCACCAGCATGGCACATGTATACATATGTAACTAACCTGCACATTGTACACATGTACCCTAAAACTTAAAGTGGAATAATAATAATAATAATAAAGTACATCACCAAAAAAATAAATAAATAAAGAGGGCATTATAAAATGCCTCATGGAAAAAATTTTATTTTAACAATTATTAAAGTAAAATAAAAATTTGTGACTCATAACACACTTCATTTTTATCCTCTATTTTTTTTTTACAAATGGGACTTGAATATTTTAAGATAAAATTTAAAAAATCAAGTAATTTTAATCGGAAATTTCAAAAAAAAAAACCCTGAATCCAATTCAAATTTCACTTACTTGAAAATTCTCACTGATATAAATTTGTTTATATAAATGTGATATAACCAATAAAGATATACAATAGAGTCATTGTTAATTTGGGTAAAAAATTTTAAAAACAATGCAAACTTGTATTACCTCCATATGTATGTATGTACACATGTACACATATATGAATATTTATATATATTTTTGCATACACACCCCCTATATATACCTATGTATAAATGAATAACAATGGAATATCAGTTGGCTTCTACTACAACATTTGAAGGCCCATTGCACAATGGCCAGAACAGAGACGACATGGGAATGCAACTTAAAATTTCCAAGATGACTTGAATTGTATCTGAATTTCTGACAGGGCATAGAGAAATTAAAATCTTGTTTAATTATGCTTCTTTGTTTATTACTGGGAGAGCCTCACATGCAAAGCAGATCAGGATATTCTCTTACCAAATGTGTTAATTAACAGTTCATAATGTAAGGGTGACTCACATAGCAGATTCAATATCAAACAGGAAGGGCTTTTGTAGCCTGTTCTATTTTCAGTCAACCACAAACCACCCACCCCTGCTGAAATAAAAACTTAAAAGGCAGGTGGAGGAAAATATGTTCTAGACCAAGGGGTAGGTACCGGGTCTGCAAAAGACATAGTGTGCCACCCACAAACACACAAGTTCAAGGAGTGTAGCTCAATCCTTCAGAAAATTGGTTCTAACTTTCAAATCATTAGGGATCTTCTTTATAAAAGATATAGCAAACAAAAACACAAAATATACCCCTCTAAGATTATTAGGAAGTTAAAAAAAGTAGCTTGTAACTTTTAATAAATAACTAGGGAGGTAAGCTTGTTCATTTCTGAGATTCACAACTTTTATAAAGGCGTTGTATTAATACTTGAATTGTGCTATGTTCAATAGAAGCAATGAGACATAAGCCATACTGAGAGAAGAAAAAAATTTTACAACAAGAAAATCTAATGCTGTTTAATTTCTTTAAATATTTATTAATTTCTGAATGCTATGTGATTGCTTTCATATTAATTGTTCAGTAGAGAAATTGAATACAATTGAATACAATTTCTCAGTTGAGAAATTAAATACAATGGATTTTAGTGTGATGACATACTTGATGGGATAATTTTAAAATCATTATTTTAATTAAATGTAATACTTTAAGGTAGAATAATAAAAATAAAGGAAAACCGATTTTCTTTAAATTCCATCAATTATTTCTTTCTCACAATAATTAATATGTAATTTACCAATGATGTAGTAGATTAATACCAAATTCTCTTACTTTTGGTTTCATCAAAAAATGATGAGCATTTTTCTCTGATTGATGTTTAGTTACTTTCAGATGGCTTGTAATCTTGTACTTTCAACATTGAAGTTTTTTTCACATATTGATACCAATCATTTTATGATATATCTGATTTTATAATTATGTATTTATTGTTTTCAAATGAGAGTTATGGGTGTATACAGTAAGAATTATAATAGAGGAAGTTATCTGGTGCTCCAGGAATTTAAATAAGAGAAGATATAAAGATCTCAGCCTTTGTATCAATATTTAAATTGGATCCTGAAAAATGAATGAAGATAGACAGAAAACAAGTAAAAAATGGTCTAAGCAGATGGAATAGAAGGAGTAAAAGGAGAGTAATAGAAAAGTGTGTGTGTCTTTGAAGGAACATAACCTGTTCTGGGTGTGGCTACAGCACAGGTTTGTGAAGGAAAATGTTAAATGATTGAGGAGAATGTCTCTCAATATCAGTGATTTTGTATTTTATCCTTCAATGATGGGACATAAGTAAACAATTTTTAAAAGCATGGTGGGTGTGTGTGTATATAAATATATAGCATATATATATAGTATATAGCATGTCTATACTTATACTATACACATACATATAGTGTGTGTGTATATATGTATGTATATATAGTATATATATATACTTATTTTCATTCTAGATAGAAGTTTTTGAGATGCAGTTAGAAGAAAAAGTCAGAAAGAATAGTCAAGATTATTCCAGCAGTACAGGCATGATGTGATGAATGACTAAATTAAAACATTAGCAGCAATACAGAAGAGAAATGGCGGAATAGAAAGGTAATTCAAGGTAGAAACATCTGAACTTAATAATTCATTTAGAAGGAAGAGACAAGGTATATATACTCTAAATTTTCTTGGCGACTGGCTTGATATTATCATCATTAGCTGAGATGGGCAATGCTTTAAAAGAAATAGATTTATTTGCCAAAATATAAAATGTGTTTATGGCTATGTCAAATTTGAGATGCAGGTGGTGAAGACAGAGGGGGAGAATCAGTTGACATTTTAAAATATAGGTCTGAAACCTACAGGAAAACATTGGAGTAAAAAAAAAATAAAGAAAATCAAACGTCAAAGGAAATGCTGGAAGTGTGGGAATGGATAAAAGGAGCACAGGAAAAGTGTGCAGAGCATTGTTACCCAAAGTGCTGTGGGAATTTTATACACATATGAATACAACTCGCAAAACTCACAAATATTTTTGCTTCCCTGGATCATTTACTGGAGTCTTTTACATACACATTCTGAAGTATAAGGTATGCAGAATTTTCTAAGCATATCATAGAATTCCATTCCAAGAATACATTTCAGGAAAACTATTGTCAATCAGGGAAACATTGGTGCAGAATAGTAAGAAAATAAATACCCATTAAGACTAGTACTTATGGAGGAGGAGGAGCCAAGATGGCCGAATAGGAACAGCTCCGGTCTACAGCTCCCAGCGTGAGCGACGCAGAAGACGGGTGATTTCTGCATTTCCATCTGAGGTACCGGGTTCATCTCACTAGGGAGTGCCAGACAGTGGGCGCAGGCCAGTGTGTGTGCGCACCGTGCGCGAGCTGAAGCAGGGCGAGGCATTGCCTAACCTGGGAAGCGCAAGGGGTCAGGGAGTTCCCTTTCCGAGTCAAAGAAAGGGGTGACTGACGCACCTGGAAAATCGGGTCACTCCCACCCGAATATTGCGCTTTTCAGACCGGCTTAAGAAATGGCGCACCACGAGACTATATCCCACACCTGGCTCAGAGGGTCCTACGCCCACGGAATCTCGCTGATTGCTAGCACAGCAGTCTGAGATCAAACTGCAAGGCGGCAACGAGGCTGGGGGAGGGGCGCCCGCCATTGCCCAGGCTTGCTTAGGTAAACAAAGCAGCCAGGAAGCTCCAACTGGGTGGAGCCCACCACAGCTCAAGGAGGCCTGCCTGCCTCTGTAGGCTCCACCTCTGGGGGCAGGGCACAGACAAACAAAAAGACAGCAGTAACCTCTGCAGACTTAAGTGTCCCTGTCTGACAGCTTTGAAGAGAGCAGTGGTTCTCCCAGCACGCAGCTGGAGATCTGAGAACGGGCAGACTGCCTCCTCAAGTGGGTCCCTGACCCCTGACCCCCAAGCAGCCTAACTGGGAGGCACCCCCCAGCAGGGGCACACTGACACCTCACACGGCAGGGTATTCCAACAGACCTGCAGCTGAGGGTCCTGTCTGTTAGAAGGAAAACTAACAAACAGAAAGGACATCTACACCGAAAACCCATCTGTACATCACCATCATCAAAGACCAAAAGTAGATAAAACCACAAAGATGGGGAAAAAACAGAACAGAAAAACTGGAAACTCTAAAACACAGAGTGCCTCTCCTCCTCCAAAGGAACGCAGTTCCTCACCAGCAACAGAACAAAGCTGGATGGAGAATGATTTTGACGAGCTGAGAGAAGAAGGCTTCAGATGATCAAATTACTCTGAGCTACGGGAGGACATTCAAACCAAAGGCAAAGAAGTTGAAAACTTTGAAAAAAATTTAGAAGAATGTATAACTAGAATAACCAATACAGAGAAGTGCTTAAAGGAGCTGATGGAGCTGAAAACCAAGGCTCGAGAACTACGTGAAGAATGCAGAAGCCTCAGGAGCCGATGCGATCAACTGGAAGAAAGGGTATCAGCAATGGAAGATGAAATGAATGAAAGGAAGCGAGAAGGGAAGTTTAGAGAAAAAAGAATAAAAAGAAATGAGCAAAGCCTCCAAGAAATATGGGACTATGTGAAAAGACCAAATCTACGTCTGATTGGTGTACCTGAAAGTGATGTGGAGAATGGAACCAAGTTGGAAAACACTCTGCAGGATATTATCCAGGAGAACTTCCCCAATCTAGCAAGGCAGGCCAACGTTCAGATTCAGGAAATACAGAGAACGCCACAAAGATACTCCTCGAGAAGAGCAACTCCAAGACACATAATTGTCAGATTCACCAAAGTTGAAATGAAGGAAAAAATGTTAAGGGCAGCCAGAGAGAAAGGTCGGGTTACCCTCAAAGGAAAGCCCATCAGACTAACAGTGGATCTCTCGGCAGAAACCCTACAAGCCAGAAGAGAGTGGGGGCCAATATTCACCATTCTTAAAGAAAAGAATTTTCAAACCAGAATTTCATATCCAGCCAAACTAAGCTTCATAAGTGAAGGAGAAATAAAATACTTTATAGACAAGCAAATGCTGAGAGATTTTGTCACCACCAGGCCTGCCCTAAAAGAGCTCCTGAAGGAAGCGCTAAACATGGAAAGGAACAACCGGTACCAGCCCCTGCAAAATCATGCCAAAATGTAAAGACCATCGAGACTAGGAAGAAACTGCATCAACTAATGAACAAAATCACCAGCTAACATCATAATGACAGGATCAAATTCACACATAACAATATTAACTTTAAATATAAATGGACTAAATTCTGCAATTAAAAGACACAGACTGGCAAGTTGGATAAAGAGTCAAGACCCATCAGTGTGCTGTATTCAGGAAACCCATCTCACGTGCAGAGACACACATAGGCTCAAAATAAAAGGATGGAGGAAGATCTACCAAGCCAATGGAAAACAAAAAAAGGCAGGGGTTGCAATCCTAGTCTCTGATAAAACAGACTTTAAACCAACAAAGATCAAAAGAGACAAAGAAGGCCATTATATAATGGTAAAGGGATCAATTCAACAAGAGGAGCTAACTATCCTAAATATTTATGCACCCAATACAGGAGCACCCAGATTCATAAAGCAAGTCCTCAGTGACCTACAAAGAGACTTAGACTCCCACACATTAATAATGGGAGACTTTAACACCCCACTGTCAACATTAGACAGATCAACGAGGCAGAAAGTCAACAAGGATACCCAGGAATTGAACTCAGCTCTGCACCAAGCAGACCTAATAGACATCTACAGAACTCTCCACCCCAAATCAACAGAATATACATTTTTTTCAGCACCACACCACACCTATTCCAAAATTGACCACATAGTTGGAAGTAAAGCACTCCTCAGCAAATGTAAAAGAACAGAAATTATAACAAACAGTCTCTCAGACCACAGTGCAATCAAACTAGAACTCAGGATTAAGAATCTCACTCAAAGCCGCTCAACTACATGGAAACTGAACAACCTGCTCCTGAATGACTACTGGGTACATAACGAAATGAAGGCAGAAATAAAGATGTTCTTTGAAACCAACGAGAACAAAGACACCACATACCAGAATCTCTGGGACACATTCAAAGCAGTGTGTAGAGGGAAATTTATAGCACTAAATGCCTACAAGAGAAAGCAGGAAAGATCCAAAATTGACACCCTAACATCACAATTAAAAGAACTAGAAAAGCAAGAGCAAACACATTCAAAAGCTAGCAGAAGGCAAGAAATAACTAAAATCAGAGCAGAACTGAAGGAAATAGAGACACAAAAAACCCTTCAAAAAATCAATGAATCCAGGAGCTGTTTTTTTGAAAGGATCAACAAAATTGATAGACCGCTAGCAAGACTAATAAAGAAAAAAAGAGAGAAGAATCAAATAGACACAATAAAAAATGATAAAGGGGATATCACCACCGATCCCACAGAAATACAAACTACCATCAGAGAATACTACAAACACCTCTACGCAAATAAACTAGAAAATCTAGAAGAAATGGATACATTCCTCGACACATACACTCTCCCAAGACTAAACCAGGAAGAAGTTGAATCTCTGAATAGACCAATAACAGGCTCTGAAATTGTGGCAATAATCAATAGTTTACCAACCAAAAAGAGTCCAGGACCAGATGGATTCACAGCCGAATTCTACCAGAGGTACAAGGAGGAACTGGTACCATTCCTTTTGAAACTATTCCAATCAATAGAAAAAGAGGGAATCCTCCCTAACTCATTTTATGAGGCCAGCATCATTCTGATACCAAAGCCGGGCAGAGACACAACCAAAAAAGAGAATTTTAGACCAATATCCTTGATGAACATTGATGCAAAAATCCTCAATAAAATACTGGCAAACTGAATCCAGCAGCACATCAAAAAGCTTATCCACCATGATCAAGTGGGCTTCATCCCTGGGATGCAAGGCTGGTTCAATATACGCAAATCAATAAATGTAATCCAGCATATAAACAGAGCCAAAAACAAAAACCACATGATTATCTCAATAGATGCAGAAAAAGCCTTTGACAAAATTCAACAACCCTTCATGCTAAAAACTCTCAATAAATTAGGTATTGATGGGACGTATTTCAAAATAATAAGAGCTATCTATGACAAACCCACAGCCAATATCATACTGAATGGGCAAAAACTGGAAGCATTCCCTTTGAAAACTGGCACAAGACAGGGATGCCCTCTCTCACCGCTCCTATTCAACATAGTGTTGGAAGTTCTGGCCAGGGCAATCAGGCAGGAGAAGGAAATAAAGGGTATTCAATTAGGAAAAGAGGAAGTCAAATTGTTCCTGTTTGCAGACGACATGATTGTTTATCTAGAAAACCCCATCGTCTCAGCCCAAAATCTCCTTAAGCTGATAAGCAACTTCAGCAAAGTCTCAGGATACAAAATCAATGTACAAAAATCACAAGCATTCTTATACACCAACAACAGACAAACAGAGAGCCAAATCATGGGTGAACTCCCATTCACAATTGCTTCAAAGAGAATAAAATACCTAGGAATCCAACTTACAAGGGATGTGAAGGACCTCTTCAAGGAGAACTACAAACCACTGCTCAAGGAAATAAAAGAGGACACAAACAAATGGAAGAACATTCCATGCTCATGGGTAGGAAGAATCAATATCGTGAAAATGGCCATACTGCCCAAGGTAATTTACAGATTCAATGCCATCCCCATCAAGCTACCAATGACTTTCTTCACAGAATTGGAAAAAACTACTTTAAAGTTCATATGGAACCAAAAAAGAGCCCGCATCGCCAAGTCAATCCTAAGCCAAAAGAACAAAGCTGGAGGCATCACACTACCTGACTTCAAACTATACTACAAGGCTACAGTAACCAAAACAGCATGGTACTGGTACCAAAACAGAGATATAGATCAATGGAACAGAACAGAGCCCTGAGAAATAATGCCGCATATCTACAACTATCTGATCTTTGACAAACCTGAGAAAAACAAGCAATGGGGAAAGGATTCCCTATTTAATAAATGGTGCTGGGAAAACTGGCTAGCCATATGTAGAAAGCTGAAACTGGATCCCTTCCTTACACCTTATACAAAAATCAATTCAACATGGATTAAAGATTTAAACGTTAGACCTAAAACCATAAAAACCCTAGAAGAAAACCTAGGCATTACCATTCAGGACATAGGCGTGGGCAAGGACTTCATGTCCAAAACACCAAAATCAATGGCAACAAAAGCCAACATTGACAAATGGGATCTAATTAAACTAAAGAACTTCTGCACAGCAAAAGAAACTACCATCAGAGTGAACAGGAAACCTACAACATGGGAGAAAATTTTCGCAACCTACTCATCTGACAAAGGGCTAATATCCAGAATCTACAATGAACTCAAACAAATTTACAAGAAAAAAACAAACAACCCCATCAAAAAGTGGGCAAAGGACATGAACAGACACTTCTCAAAAGAAGACATTTATGCAGCCAAAAAACACATGAAGAAATGCTCATCATCACTGGCCATCAGAGAAATGCAAATCAAAACCACTATGAGATATCATCTCACACCAGTTAGAATGGCAATCATTAAAAAGTCAGGAAACAACAGGTGCTGGAGAGGATGTGGAGAAATAGGAACACTTTTACACTGTTGGTGGGACTGTAAACTAGTTCAACCATTGTGGAAGTCAGTGTGGCGATTCCTCAGTGATCTAGAACTAGAAATACCATTTGACCCAGCCATCCCATTACTGGGTATATACCCAAAGGACTATAAATCATGCTGCTATAAAGACACATGCACACGTATGTTTATTGCGGCACTATTCACAATAGCAAAGACTTGGAACCAACCCAAATGTCCAACAATGATAGACTGGATTAAGAAAATGTGGCACATATACACCATGGAATACTATGCATCATAATACTATGCATCATAAAAAATGATGAGTTCATATCCTTTGTAGGGACATGGATGAAATTGGAAACCATCATTCTCAGTAAACTATCTCAAGAACAAAAAACCAAACACCACATATTCTCACTCATAGGTGGGAATTGAACAATGAGATCACATGGACACAGGAAGGGGAATATCACACTCTGGGGACTGTGGTGGGGTCGGGGGAGGGGGGAGGGATAGCATTGGGAGATATACCTAATGCTAGATGACACATTAGTGGGTGCAGCGCACCAGCATGGCACATGTATACATATGTAACTAACCTGCACAATGTGCACATGTACCCTAAAACTTAGAGTATAATAAAAAAAAAAAAAAAAAAAGACTAGTACTTACACAGTGGACATGAAAAAACCAGGCAGCAAGGAGTTATTAAAAAGAAAGCATGGGCTGGGCATTGTGGCTCATGCCTGTAATCCCAGCACTTTGGGAGGCCGAGGTGGGCAGATCACCTGAGTTTGGGAGTTTGAGACCAGCCTGACCAACATGAAGAAACCCCATCTCTACTAAAAATACAAAATTAGCTGGGCATGGTGGCACATGCTTGTAATCGCAGCTACTCAGGAGGCTGAGGCAGGAGAGTCTCTTGAACCTGGGAGGCGGAGGTTGCAGTGAGCTGAGATCACACTGTTGCACTCCAGCCTGGGTGAAAAGAGGGAAACTTCGTCTCAAAAAAAAAGAAAAAAGAAAAAAAAGAAAGAAAAAATAAAAGAAAAAAGAAAAAAATGAAAGCATGGGGCCAATATTGAGTGGTCTTAAGGAAGTCAAGGTAGAAGGAAATTTAAAGAAGGAAATGAGAAGCAATGCAGAATGTTTAGAAAGGTCAATTAGGAAGCTCCCATAAATATTCTCACTATGTATTATAGGGAATTCATTTATATCTTCAAAAATACCACTCAAAAAAGATGGTAATTGTTGAAATGAGATTTCAATGGGTGAAAGAGGCTGGGCACAGTGGCTCATGCCTGTAATCCCAGCACTTTGGGAGGCCGAGGTGGATGGATCACGACGTCAGCAGTTTAAGACCAGCCTGGCCAAGATGTGAAACCCCATCTCTACTAAAAATACAAAAATTAAACGGGTGTGGTGTTGGGCGCCTGTAATCCTAGCTACTTGGGAGGCTGAGACAGGAGAATCGCTTGAACCCAGGAGGTGGAGGTCGCAGTGAGCCGAGAAGATGCCACTGCACTCCAGCCTGGGTGGCAGAGCAAGAGAAAGAAAAGAGAAAAGAAAAGAGAAGAGAAGAAAGAAAAGAAGGATGGAAGGGATTTTAAAAAGAGATGAGAAGTCAGTATACTGTTTTGGAGGAAGTGTAGTTTATGATTGTGGCTATAACTTGCTATGAATGGAAACAGCAACACACCACTGGATTTCAACTTTTGAGTGCTTAAGAAGGTGGAGATGGTGATTAAAAGAATAATAATAATAATAATAATGCTAAGTGTGTAATAGTTGCTAAGTGTGTGGTGTCTGAACCCAGGATATCAGGATGTCTGGAACTGGGATTGAATCCCAGCTCTTCCACTTTCTGGTTATGTGAGTGACTGTAGGCAAATTACTTAATCTTTTAATGCTCCAGTTTCCCATATGTAAAATGAGAATTATAATAGTAAACTACTTCATGGCTTGTGAGGATGAAGTGCATGTAGAGTACTTAGTGAGTTCTCTTTGTGTATTATGTATTAGTTTCAAAATGCAGATTCTAGAGCCCTTAAATTCTCATTCAATAGGTATGAGGCAAGCACGGGCCAGGATTCTGCATTCTTTAAGGACGTGTAATTTCCTACATCTGCTGTGACAAAGTGGTTCACATTAGGTCGCTTAAAATGAGATAAAGTTATTCTTTTATGGTTCAGGAAGCTAGAAATCTTAAATGAAGGAGTTAGCAGTGCTGCATTTTTCTCTGAAGGACCTGGGAAAAAATCCTTTCTTGCTTCTACTAGCACCGGGTGATCACTGAGCTTCATTGTCATTGCTTGGCTGGAGGATACCTCACTTTGTTCTCTACCTCCATCCTCACATGGCCATCTCCTCCCTGTGTCTCTGTTTCCTCTTCCTTTCTTATGAGGATATCAACCATATTGAATTATGGCCCACTCTAATGCATTATGAGCTCATCTAGCATATCATAATTATACAGCATCTGCAAATAATTTGATTTCAAATTAAGTCATACTCACAGACATCAGGGGCTAGAACTCTAATATATATTTTTTCTTTTTGAAGACACAATCTAACCCACAAAAGGAGGGGAGCAGCTTAAGATCATAAACAACTCAAGTAACAAGACTGTGTGTTTAAAATAGCATTTAAATTTCTCCAAATGGCAGACAGCTTAATTCAGATCAATACCAATCAGGAGATAAACAAGTGTCTGTCTCCTGGTTGGCATTTACCTGAGATTAAAACATTATGGTAAAATACATTATCTTCAGTGATCTTTGGTTTAGGTGAGCATTCACAAGGCACACAGTTATTATCACTTGAGCCATCTCTCTCTAATAACTCTTTTCTAATCTGCTGGCCAACAATATCAGGTTCTTTCAAATCTCTGATTATCGGACCAAACCATAAGGTCCTCCACGTGAATTGGTAGAAATATTTTTTACAAAGGTAAGTGAAATTTTATTTACTTGATGGATTTCTCTTCTCCTTTGCACAAAGGGGTGACCCTTTGACAGCACAGGAAAAGAACAGGATAGAAATAGACTTTCAGAAGGAAGGGCCTTCCATAACAAGGAATGCCATCTGTAATCCAGACTTTTTTCTCCTCAGGAATCCAGTCATAGGCAAATCTCTATGAATCACAGATAAATAGAAAGAAGGGTGGAAGTGTGTCAGGAGTAGGATGCTGAAAATGTGAGTAGCCTGTTCATTAATTGATCCCTTGGAAACTGAGAAGGCAACGTGGCATACATGCAATTTCCATGGAATGATGGAAGACTGGTTGTAGTTAGTATGATCCTATAATGCTCAGATCACAACGGGGTCACCCTTATTCATGACTGAGCATTCCTTCTTATTAGTATCCCAATGTGAAATTGTTTCTCAAAAAAGGAGGGGGCGGGTAATTTTTGTACAAAAGGCTTTTACTCCAAAATAAAGTGACTTGTACTGTATTTCTCCTCTGGAGCCTTGCCGCTGGCTCCATAGGAAAATTCTGCCTCTCATAGATACCTGAGGCATTGGATTCCCTAAACAAAATAGTAGATCCACTTGTACTGCAGGCCTCTGAAGTCCAAAACGTTTCTCTTTCTCTGAGTCCCACTCACAGCTGACATCCTTCTTGACATTTGCATTTTATTTAGAATACACATCCAAATATGTTTTATGTTGCCTCTAACATTCAAAAGAGCCTGTAACAGTCTTCTTTCCCTATCCCTTCCTTCCATTTGAAAGATGTTTGCTCCACATCACTTTCTACTGCGTTCTTAGACTCCCTGAAGGTAGGAAACCCACATTTTTGTCATTTGCTCAATGTGTCTTTCCTGAAGTCTATGGTAGCTGCTATTTTTCTCTAGAGCATATCAACCGGATGCTGTCCATGTATTCCATAAGTTATGTCCGTTTGGCTAGTGACATGGCCAGGGTTCCTGAGTACAAAATTGTGACACAGGCAAAAATAGTTATACTTCTACAGCTAAATAGTGAAGACACTCTGCCTGGAAAAAGTAAGAAATTTCAGGTATTTACCATTTATTTAAGATACAGAAAAATAATTTGCCTAAATGTATAGCAGGAAAAGGAGATAAGTGTATTCACTAAAGCAAGGAGACTACATCTGGATTTTAAATGTGTGCCCTCAGATAGGATTCCAGTACACAGTGGCTGGATTCTGAGTGTTTGTCCCTCACACAGGATTACAGAACACTGCTACGAGGTTCTGAATGGAAAAGGAAATATCTTCACATAAAGACAAGAAAGAAGCATTCTGAGAAACTTCTTTGTGATGTGTGCATTCACCTCACAGAGTTGAACTTTTCTTTTGATTTAGCACTTTTGAAATACTCCTTTTGTAGTGTCTGCAAGTGGATATTTGGAGGGCTTTACAGCCTATGGTGGAAAAGTAAATATCTTCACATCAAAACCAGATAGAAGCATTCTGAGAAACTCCTCTGTGATCTGTGCATTCATCTCACACAGTTGAATGTTTCTCTTGATAGAGAAGTTTTGAAACACTCTTTTTGTAGAACCTGCAAGTGGATATTTTGAGTGCTTTGGGACCTATGGTGGAAAAGGAAATATCTTCACATAAAAACTAGACAGAAACATTCTGAGAAACTTCTTTGTGATGTGTGCATTCAACTCACAGAGTTGAAATATTCTTTTGATTGAGCAGTTTTGAAACACTCTTTTTCTAGTATCTGCAAAGTTGGAGGGCTTTTGGACCTCTAGAGGAAAGGGAAATATCTTCCCTTAAAAACTAGACAGAAGCATCCTGAGAAACTTCTTTGTGATGTGTGCCTTCATCTCACAGAGCTGAACATTTCTTTTGATTGAGCAGCTTTGAAACACTCTTTTGTAGAATCTGCAAGTGGACATTTGGAGCGATTTGAGGCCTATGGAGGAAAAGGAAACATCTTCACATAAAAACTACACAAATGCCTTATGAGAAACTTCTTTGTGATGTGTGCATTCATCTCACAGAATTGAACCTTTCTTTTGATTGAACAGTTTTGAAACACTTCTTTTGAAGGATCTGCATGTGGATATTTGGATCAGTTTGGGGCTTGTGGTGGAAAAGGAAATATCTTCAAATAAAAACTACACAGAAGCGTTCTGAGAAAGTTCTTTGTGATGTGTGCATTCAACTCACACAGTTGAAGATTTCTTTTGATTGAGCAGTTTTGAAACAATCTTTTTGTAGTATTTGCAAGTGGATATTTGGAGTGGTTTGAGGCCTATTGTAGAAAAGGAAATATCTTCACATAAATACTAGACAGAAGCATTCTGAGAAACTTCTCTGTGATGTGTGCATTCATCTCACAGAATTGAAACTTTGTTTTGATTGAGCAGTTTTGAAACACTCTTTTTGTAGAATCTGAAAGTGGATACTTGGAGTGCTTTGAGCACAATGGTGGAAAAGGAAGTATCTTCAATTAAAAACTAGACAGAAGTATTCTGAGAAACTTCTTTGTGATGTGTGCATTCGACTCACAGAGTTTAAACTTTCTTTTGATTGAGGAGTTTGGAAAATATCTTTTTGTAGAATCTGCAAGTGGATATTTGGAGCGCTTTGCGGCCTATAGTGGAAACGGAAATATCTTCACATAAAAACTAGACAGAAGCCTTCTGAGAAACTCCTTTGTGATGTGTGCATTCATGTCTCAGAGCTGAACCTTTCTTTTGATTGAGCAGTTTTGAAACACTATTTTTGTAGAATCTGCAAGTGGATATTTTGAGCGCTTTGTGGCCAATGGTGGTAAAAGGAAACATCTTCATGTAAAAACTGGACGGGAGCATTCTGAGAAATTTCTTTGTGATTTGTGCATTCAGCTCACAGAGTTGAACCTTTCTTTTGATTGAGCAGTTTGAAACCTCTTTTTGTACGATCTGCAAGTGGATAATTGGAGTGCTTTAAGGTCTACAGTGGAGAAGGAAATATCTTCACATAAAAACTACACAGAAGCATTCCGAGAAACTTCTTTGTGATTTGTGCATTCAACACACAGAGTTGAACCTTTCTTTTGAGCAGTTTGAAACACTCTTTTTGTAAAATCTGCAAGTGGATATTTGGAGCGCCTTAAGGTCTATGGTGGAGAAGGAAATATCTTCACATAAAAACTGGACAGAAGCATTCTGATAAACTACTTTGTGATGTGTGCATTCATCTCACAGAATTGAAACTTTCTTTTGATTGAGCAGATTTGAAGCACACTTTTTGTGGAATGAACAAGTGGATATTTTGAGGGCTTCAAGTCCTATGGTGGAAACGGAAATATCTTCACCTAAAAACAACACAGAAGAAGTCTGAGTAAGTTCTTTCTGATGTGTGCATTCATCTCACAAAGTTGAACATTTCTTTGGATTCAGCAGTTTTGAAAAACACTTTTTGTAGTATCTGCAAGTGGATATTTGGAGCGCTTTGGGGCCTATGGTGGAAAGGGAAATATCTTCACCTAAAAACTACACCGAAGCATTCTGAGAAACTTCTTTGTGATGTGTGCATTCATCTCACAGAGTTGAACCTTTCTTTTGATTGAGAAGTTTTGAAACACTCTTTTTGTGGAACCTGCAAGTGGATATTTTTAACGCTTGGCAGCCTATGGTGGAAAAGGAAATATCTTCACATAAAAACTAGACAGAGGCATTTTGAGAAGCTCCTTTGTGATGTGTGCATTCATCTCACAGTGCTGAACATTTCTTTTGATTTAGCTGCTTTCAAATATTCTTTTTGCAGAATCTGCAAGTGGATATTTGAAGCGCTTTGAGGCCTACGGTGGAAAAGGAAACACCTTCACATAAAAACTAGACAGAAGCATTCTGAGAAACTTCTTTGGGGTGTGTGCATTCATCTTACAGAGTTGAACCTTTCTTTTGATTGAGCAGTTTTGAAACACTCTTTATGTATAATCGGCCAGTGGTTGTTTTGAGCGCTTTGAGTCTTCTGGTGGAAAAGGAAATATTTTCACATAAAAAGTAGACCGAAGCATTCTGAGAAACTTCTGTGTGATATGTGCATTCATCTCACAGAGTTGAACTTTACCTTTGATTGAGCAATTTTTAAACACTCTTTTTGTAGAATCTGCAAGAGGATATTTGGAGCGCTCTGAGGCCAGTGGTGGAAAAAGAAATATCTTCACATAACAACTAGACAGAAGCATTGTGAGAAACTTCTTTTTGATGTGTGCATTCATCTCACAGAGTTGAAGTTTACTTTTGGTTGAGCAGTTTTGAAACACTCTTTTTGTAGAATCTGCAAGTGGACATTTGGAGCTCTTTGGGGCCTATGGTGGAAAAGGAAATATCTTCACATAAAAACTACACAGGAGCATTCTCTGAAACATCTTTGTGATGTGTGCATTCATCTCATAGAGTTCAAACATACTTTCGATTGAGCAGTTTGGAAACACTCTTTTTGTAGAATCTGCAAGTGGATATTTTTAATGCTTGGCAGCCTATGGTGGAAAAGGAAATATCTTCACATAAAAACTAGGCAGAGGCATTTTGAGAAGCTCCTTTGTGATGTGTGCATTCTTCTCACAGTGTTGAACATTTCTTTTGATTTAGCTGCTTTCAAATATTCTTTTTGCGGAATCTGCAAGTGGATATTTGAAGCGCTTTGAGGCCTATGGTGGAAAAGGGTCTGCAAGTTAACATTTGGAGAGCTTTGAGGCCTAAGGCAGAAAACAAAATATTTTCATATTATAATTAGACAGAAGCATTCTGAGAAAGTTCTTTGTGATATGTGCATTCATCTCACAGAGTTGAAACTTTCTTTTGATTGAGCAGTTTTGACACACTCTTTTTGTAGAATCTCCAAGTGGACATTTGGAGCGCTTTGCGGACTATGGTGGAAATGGAAATTTCTTCACATAAAAACTGTTCAGAAACATTCTGAGAAACTTCTTTGTGATGTGTCCATTCGTCTGACAGAGTTGAATCTTTCTTTTGATTGAGCAACTTGGAAACTCTCTTTTTGTAGAATCTGCTAGTGGACAATTGGAACGCTTTGAGGCCTATGGGGGAAAACAAACTATCTTCACTTAAGTACTAGACAGAATAATTCTGAGAAACTTCTTTGTGATGGGTGCATTCATTTCACAGAGTTGAACCTTTCTTTTTTTTTTGAGCAGCTTTGAAAAACTCTTTTTATAGACTCTGCAAGTGGACATTTGGAGCTCTTTGCAGCATATGGTGGAAAAGGAAATGTCCTCACATAAAAACTAGACAGAAGCATTCTGACAAACTCCTTTGTGATGTGTGAATTCATCTCACAGAGTTGTGACTTTCTTTTGATTGAACAGTTTTGAAACAATCGTTTTGTAGAATCTACAATTGAACATTTGGAGCGCTTTGCAGCCTGTGGTGGAAAACGAAATATCTTCACATAAAAACTAGACAGAAGAATTCTGAGAAACTTCTTCATGATGTATGCATTCACCTCACAGAGTTGAACATAACTTTCAATTGAGCAGTTTTGAAACCCTCTTTTTATAGGAGCAGCAAGTGGACATTTGGAGGTCTTTGAGGCCTATGGTGGAAAAAGAAATATCTTCTCATTATAACTAGACAAAAACATTCTGAGAAACTTCTTTGTGATGTGTGCATTCATCACACAGAGTTGAACCTCTCCTTAGATTGAGCACCTTTGAAACACTCTTTTTGTAGGATCTGCAAGTGGACATTTGGAGTGATTTGAGGCCTATGGTGGAAAAGGAATTATCTTCACATAAAAACTATACAGAAACATTCTCACAAGCTTCTTTGTGATGTGTGCATTCAACTCACAGAGTTGAACCTTTCTTTTGACTGAGCAGTTTTGAAACACTCTTTTTGTAGAATCCGCAAGTGGACATTTGGTGCACTTTGAGGCATAAGGTGGAGAAGGAAATATCTTCACTTAACAACTAGGCGGAAGCATTCTGAGAAACTTCTTTGTGTTGTGTGCATTTATCTTACAGAGTTGAACCATACTTTTGATTGAGCAGCTTTGAAAAACTCCTTTTTAGACTCTGCAAGTGAACATTTTGAGCTCTTTGTGTCCTACAGTGGAAAAGGAAATATCTTCACATAAAAACTAGACAGAAGCATTCTGTGAAACTTCTTTGTGATGTGTGCATTCGTCTCACAGAGATGAACCTTTCTTTTGATTGAGCAGTTTTGAAACACTCTTTTCGTAGAATCCACAAGCAGACATTTGGAGTGCTTTGAGGCCTATGGTGGAAAAGGAAATATCTTCCCATTAAAAACTAGACAGAAACATTCTGAAAAACCTCTTTATGATGTCTGCATTCATCTCACAGGGTTGAAACTTACTTTCGATTGAGCAGTTTTGAAACACTCTTTTTGTAGAGTCTAGAATTGGACATTTGGAGTGCTTAGAGTCCTATGGAGGAAAAGGAAATATCTTGATATAAAAACTAGAGAGAAGCATTTTGAGAAACTCTTTGTGATGTGTGCATGCATTCATCTCACAGATTTGAACCTTTCTTTTGATCCAGCAGCTTTGAAACCCTCTTTTTGTAGCATCTAGTATTGGACATTTGGAGCGCTTAGAGTCCTATGGTGGAAAAGGAAATATATTCCCGTAAAAACTAGACAGAATCATTCAGAGAAAATTCTTTGTGATGTGTGGATTCATCTCACAGAGTTAAACTGTTATTTTGATGGAGCAGTTTGGAAAAACTATTTTTGTAAGATCTGGATGTTTACATTTGGAGCGTTTTGAGGCCTATGGTGTAAAAGGAAATATCTTCAAATAAAAACTAGACAGAAGCATTCTGAGAAACTTTTTTGTGATGGGTGCATTCATCTCACAGTGTTGAACATTTCTTTTGATTCAGCAGCTTTGAAACACTCTTTTTGTAGAATATGCAAGAGGACATTTGGAGTGCTTTGAGGCCAATGGTGGAAAAGGAAATATCTTCACATAAAAAGTAGACAGAAGCATTCTGAGAAACTTCTTTGTGACGTGTGCATTCATCTCAGAGTGTTGAAACTTTCTTTTGATTGAGCAGCTTTGAAACACTCTTTTTTTAGAATCTGCATGTGGAGATTTGGGGCACTTTGAGGCCAATAGTGGAAAAGGAAATATCTTCACATAAAAACGATTCAGAAATATTCTGAGAAATTTCTTTCTGATGTGTGCATTCATGTCACAGAGTTGAACCTTTATTTCATTGAGCAGTTTTTATTTATTTATTTATTTATTTATTTATTTATTTATTATTGTTATACTTTAAGTTTTAGGGTACATGCGCACAATGTGCAGGTTAGTTACATATGTATACATGTGCCATGCTGGTGCACTGCACCCACTAACTCGTCATCTAGCATTAGGAATATCTCCCAATGCTATCCCTCCCCTCTCCTCCCACCCCACAACAGTCCCCAGAGTGTGATGTTCCCCTTCCTGTGTCCATGTGTTCTCATTGTTCAATTCCCAAGTATGAGTGAGAATATGCGGTGTTTGGTTTTTTGTTCTTGTGATAGTTTGCTGAGAATGATGATTTCCAATTTCATCCACGTCCCTACAAAGGACATGAACTCATCATTTTTTATGGCTGCATAGTATTCCATGGTGTATATGTGCCACATTTTCTTAATCCAGTCTATCATTGTTGGACATTTGGGTTGGTTCCAAGTCTTTGCTATTGTGAATAATGCTGCAATAAACATACGTGTACATGTGTCTTTATAGCAGCATGATTTATAGCCCTCTGGGTAAATACCCAGTAATGGGATGGCTGGGTCAAATGGTATTTTTAGTTCTAGATCCCTGAGGAATTGCCACACTGACTTCCACAGTGGTTGAACTAGTTTACAGTCCCACCAACAGTGTAAAAGTGTTCCTATTTCTCCACATCGTCTCCAGCACCTGTTGTTTCCTGACTTTTTAATGATTGCCACTCTAACTGCTGTAAGATGGTATCTCATTGTGGTTTTGATTTGCATTTCTCTGATGGCCAGTGATGGTGAGCATTTTTTCATGTGTTTTTTGGCTGCATAAATGACTTCTTTTGAGAAATGTCTGTTCATGTCCTCAAAAATCAATGTATAAACATCACAAGCATTCTTATACACCAACAACAGACAAACAGAGAGCCAAATCATGAGTGAACTCCCATTCACAATTGCTTCAAAGAAAATAAAATACCTAGGAATCCAACTTACAAGGGATGTGAAGGACCTCTTCAAGGAGAACTACAAACCACTGCTCAAGGAAATAAAAGAGGATACAAACAAATGGAAGAACTTTCCATGCTCATGGGTAGGAAGAATCAATATTGTGAAAATGACCATACTGCCCAAGGTAATTTACACATTCAATGCCATCCCCATCAAGCTACTAATGACTTTCTTCCCAGAATTAGAAAAAACTACTTTAAAGTTCATATGGAACCAAAAAAGAGCCCGCATAGCCAAGTCAATCCTGAGCCAAAAGAACAATGCTGGAGGCATCACACTACCTGACTTCAAACTATACTACAAGGCTACGGTAACCAAAACAGCATGGTACTAGTACCAAAACAGAGATATAGATCAATGGAACAGAACAGAGCCCTCAGAAATAATGCCACATATCTTGAACTATCTGATCTTTGACAAACCTGAGAAAAACAAGCAATGGGGAAAGGATTCCCTATTTAATAAATGGTGCTGGGAAAACTGGCTAGCCATATGTAGAAAGCTGAAACTGGATCCCTTCCTTACACCTTACACAAAAATTAATTCAAGATGGATTAAAGACTTAAACGTTCAACCTAAAACCATAAAAACCCTAGAAGAAAACCTAGTCATTACCATTCAGAACATAGGCATTGACAAGGACTTCATGTGTAAAACACCAAAAGCAATGGCAACAAAAGCCAACATTGACAAATGAGATCTAATTAAACTAAAGAGCTTCTGCACAGCAAAAGAAACAATCATCAGAGTGAACAGGCAACCTACAAAATGGGAGAAAAGTTTCACAAACTACTCATCTGAAAAAGGGCTAATATCCAGAATCTACAATGAACTCAAACAAATTTACAAGAAAAAAACAAACAACCTCATCAGAAAGTGGCGGAAGTACATGAACAGACATTGAGCAGTTTTGAAAAACTCTTTTTGTAATATCTGCAAATGGACATTTGGAGCACTTTTTGGCCTATGGTGGAAAAGGAAATATCTTCATTTAAGAACTAGATGGAAGCATTCTGTGAAACTGCTTTGTGATGTGCGCATTCCTCTCACAGAGCTGAAACTTTATTTTAATTGAGCAGTTTTGAGAACTCTCATTTTGTAGAATCTGCAAGTGGACATTTGGAGCGCTTTGAGGCCTATGGTGGAAAAGGAAATATCTTCACATTAAAACTAGGCAGAAGCATTCTGACAAGTTTATTTGTCATTTATCTCACGGAGTTGCCATTTATCTCATGGAGTTGAACTTAACTTTCGTTAGAGCAGTTTTGAAACACTCTTTTTGTAGAATCTGCAAGTGGACATTTGGAGAGCTTTGAGTCCTGTGGTGGAAAAGGAAATATCTTCACACAAAACTAGACAGAAGCAATCTGACAAAGTTTTTGTGATGTGTGTATTCATCTCGCAGAGTGGAACCTTAATTTCGATTGAGCAGTTTTGAAACACTCCTTTTGTAGAATCTGTAAGTGGACATTTGGAGCGCTTTGATGCCTATGGTGGAAAACGAAATATCTTCACATAATAACTAGACAGAAGCATTCTGAGAAACTTCTATGTGATGTGTGCATTCATCTCATAGGGTTGAAACTTTCTTTTGATTGAGCCACTTTGAAACACTCTTTCTGTAGTATCTGCAAGTGGACATTTTTGGTGCTTTGAGGCAATGGTGGAAAATGTAATATTTTCACATAAAAACTAGACAGAAGAATTCTGAGAAACTTCTTTGAGATGTGTGCCTTCATGTTACAGAGTTGAACTTTTCTTTTGATTGAGCAGTTTGGAAACAGACTTTTTGAAGAATCTTCAGGTGCACAATTGGAGCACTTAGTGGCCTACAGTAGAAAAGGAAATATGTTCACATAAAATCTAGACAGAAGCAATCAGACAAGAGCAGCTTTGAAACACTCTTTCTGTAGCATCTGCAAGTGGACATTTTTGGCGCTTTAAGGCAATGGTGGAAAAAGAAATATCGTCACACTAGAACTATACAGAAACATTCTGAAAAACTTCACTGAGATGTGTGGATTCATCTCACAGAGTTGAACCTTTCTTTTGATTGAGCAGTTTTGAAAGACTCTATTTGTAGAATCTGAATTTGGACATTTGGTGCACTTTGTGGCCCCTGGTGGAAAAGGAAATATCTCCACATAAAAATAGACAGAAGATTTCTGAGAAACTTCTTTGTGATGTGTGCATTCATGTCACAGATTTGAACCTTTCTGTTGATTGAGTATTTTGGAAACACTCTTTTTTAGAATCTGCAAGTGGACATTTGGAGTGCTTTGTGGCCTGTGGTAGAAAAGGAATTATCTTCAAATAATATCTAGACAGAAGCAATCTGAGAAACTTCTTTGTGATATGTGCATTCATCTCACAGAGTTAAGCCATTCTTTTGATTGAGCAGTTTTGAACCTCTCTTTTCGTAGACTCTGTAAGTGGACATTTCGAGTGCTTTGAGGCTTACGGTGAAAAAGGAAATATCTTCCCATAAAAAGTAGACAGAAGAATTCTGAAAAACTTTGTGATGGGCACGTTCATCTCACAGAGTTGAAACTTTCTTTTGATTGAGCAGTTTGGAAACCCTCTTTTTACAGAATCTGCAAGTGGACATTTGGAGCACTTTGCGGCCTATGGTAGACTAGGAAATATGTTCACATAAAATCTAGACAGAAGTAATCTGAGAAACAACTTTGTGATGTGTGCATTCATCTCACAGAGATAAACATTTCTTTTGATTGAGCAGTTTTGAAACTGTCTTTTTGTAGAATCTGCAAGTGGACATTTGGAGCGCTTTGAGGCCTATGGTGGAAAATGAAATATCTTCACATAAAAACTATATTGAAGTGTTCTGAGAAAGATTTTGTGATGTGCGCATTCATCACCCAGAGTTGAATCTTTCTTTCGAAGGACCAGTTTTGAAATACTCTGTAGAATCTTCAAGTGGACATTTCGAGTACCTTGAGGCCTATGGTTTAAAAGGAAATATCTTCACATAAAAACAAAACAGAAGAATTCTGAGAAAGTTCTTTGTGATATGTGCGTTCATCTCGCAGAATTGAGCCTTTCTTTTGATTGAGCAGTGTTGAAACCCTCTTTTGTAGAATCTGCAAATGGTCATTTGGAGCACTTTGAAGCCTACGGTGGAAAAGGAATTTATCTTCACATAAAAACTAGAGAGAAGAATTCTGACAAACTTCTTTGTGATGTGTGCGTTCATCTCACAGAGTTGAAACTTTCTTTTGATTGAGCTGTTTGGAAAGACTCTTTTTGTAGAATCTGCAAGTGGACATTTGGAGCACTTTGTGGCCTATGATAGAAAAGGAAATATCTTCACATAAAATTCAGACAGAGCCAATCTGAGAAACTACTTTGTGATTTGTGCATTCATTTCACAGAGTTAAAACTTTAGTTTGGTTGAGCAGTTTTGAAACTCTCTTTTTGTAGAATCTGCAAGTGGACATTTGGAGCGCTTTGAGGCCTATGGTGGAAAAGGAAATAATTTCACATAAATACTAGACAGAAGAATTCTGAGAAACTTCTTTGTGATGTGTGTGTTCATCTCACTGAGTTGAACCTTCATTTTGATTGAGCATTTTGGAAGCACTCCGTTTGCAGAATCTGCAAGTGGAGATTTGGAGCGCTTTGCGGCCAGTGGTAGAAAAGGAAATACCTGCACATAAAATCTAGACAGAAGCAATATGAGAAAATTCTTTGTGAAATGTGCATTCATCTCAGAGACTTAAACACTGCTTTTGATGGAGCATTTTTAAACTCTGTTTTTGTAGAATCTGGAAGAGTACATTTGGAGCGGTTTGAGGACAATGTGGAAAAGAAAATATCTTCACATAAAAACCAGATTGAAGAATACTGTGAAACTTCTTTGTGATGTGTGCTTTCATCTCACAGAGTGGAACCTTTCTTTTGATTGAGCTGTTTGGAAACACTCTTTTTGTAGAATCTGCAAGTGGACATTTTGAGCACTTTGTGGCCTATGGTAGAAAAGGAAATATCTTCACATAAAATTCAGACAGAAGCAATCTGAGAAACTACTTTGTGATGTGTGCATTCATTTCACAGAGTTAAACTTTTCTTTTGATTGAGCTGTCTTGAAACTCTATTTTGTAGAATCTGCAAGTGGACATTTGGAGCGCTTTGAGGCCTATGGTAGTAAAAGAAACATCTTCACATAAAATCTAGACAAAAGCAATCTGAGAAACTTCTTTGTGATGTGTGCTTTCATCTCACAGGGTTAAAACTTTTGTTTGATTGAGCAGTTTTGAAACTCTCTTTTTGTAGAATCTGCAAGTGGGCATTTGGAGTGCTTTTAGGCCTATGGTGGAAAAGGAAATATCTTCCCATAAAAACTAGACAGAAGAATTCTGAGAAACTTCTTTGTGATGTGTGTGTTCATCTCACAGAGTTGAAACTTCCTTTTGATTGAGCAGTTTGGAAACACTCTTTTTGTAAAATCTACAAGTGGACACTTGGAGCGCTTTGGGGCCTAAGGTAGAAAAGGAAATATCTTCACATAAAACCTAGACAGAAGCAATCTGAGAAACTTCTTTGTGATGTGTGCATTCATCTCACAGAGTTGAACCTTCCTTTTGATTGAGCAGTTTGGAATCACTCTTTTTGTAGAATGTGCAAGTGGACATTTGGAGCGCTTTGCCGACTATGATAGAAAAGGAAATATCTTCACATTAAATCTAGAAAGAAGCAATCTGAGAAATCTCTTTGTGACGTGTGCATTCTTCTCACAGAGTTAAACATTCCTTTTGATAGAGCAGTATTGAAACTCTCTTTTTGTAGAATCTGCAAGTGGACATTTGGAGTGCTTTGAGGCCTATGGTGGAAAAGGAAATATCTTCACATAAAAACTAGACAGAAGAACTCTGAGAAACTTCTTTGTGATGTGTGCATTCATCTGACAGAGTTGAACATTTCTTTTGATTGAGAATATTTGAAACACTCTTTGTAGATTCTCTAAGTGAGCATTTGGAGCGCTTTGCAGCCTATGTTAGAAAAGGAAACAGTTTCACATAAAATCTAGACAGAAGCAATCTGAGAAACTTCTTTGGGATGAGTGCATTCATCTCACAGGGTTAACTCTTACTTTTGATTGAGCAGTTTTGAAACTCTCTTTTTGTTGAATGTGGAAGTGGACATTTGGAGCGCTTTGAGGCCTACGGTGGAAAACGAAATATCTTCACATAAAAACTCGACAGAAGCTTTTTTAGAAACTTCTTTGTGATGTGTGCACTGATCTCAAAGAGTTAAGCCTTTGTTTTGATTGAGCAGTTTTGAATCTCTCTTTTTGTAGAATCTGCAAGTTAACATTTGGAGCGCTTTGAGGCCTGTGGAGGAAAAGGAAATATTTTCACATCAAAACTACACAGAAGAATTCGGAGAAACTTCTTTGTGATGCTTTGTGATGTTTATCTCACAGAGTTGAACCTTTCTTATGATTAAGCAGTTTGGAAACACTCTTTTTGTGGAATCTGCAAATGGACATTTGGAGTGCTTTGCAGCCTATGTTAGAAAAGGAAATATATTCCCATAAAATCTAGATAGAATGAATCTGAGAAACTTCTTTTTGATGTGTGCATTCATCTCACAGAGTTAAAACTTTCTTTTGATTGAGCTGTCTTGAAACTCTCTTTTTGTAAAATCTGCAAGTGGACATTTGGAGCGCTTTGAGGCCTATGGTGGAAAAGTAAATATTTTCACATAAAAACTAAACAGAAAAATTCTGAGAAACTTCTTTGTGATTTGTGCTTACATCTCAAAGAGTTGAACCTTTCTTTTGACTGAGCAGTTTGGAAGCACTCTTTTTGTGGAATATGCAAGTGGACAATTGGAACACTTTGTGACCTCTCGTAGAAAAGGAAATATCTTCACAGAAAATCTAGATAAAAGCAGTCTGATAAAGTACTTTATGATGTGTCCATTCATCTCACAGAGTTAAACATTTCTTTTGATTGAGCAGTTTTGAAACTCTCTTTTTGTAGAATCTGCAAGTGTACATTTGGAGTGGTTTGAGGTCTATGGTGGAAAAGGAAATGTCTTCAGATAAAAACTAGACAGAAGAATTCTGAGAAACTTCTTTGTGATGTGCGAATTCAACTCACACAGTTGAACCTTTCTTTTGATAGGGCAGGTTTGAAACACTCTTTTTGCAGAATCTGCAAGTGGACAATTGAAGCGCTTTGAGGCCTATGGTGGAAAAATAAATATCTTCCCATAAAAAATAGAAATAAGCATTCTCAGAAACTTCTTTGTGATGTTTGCCTTCAACGCACAGAGTTGAACATACCTCATCATAGAGCAGTTTTGAAACACTCTTTTAGTAGAATCTGCAAGTGGATATATGGAAAGCCTTGAGGCCTTCATTGGAAACGGGTACATCTTCACATAAAAACTAGAGAGAAGCATTCTCAGAAACTTCTTTGTGATGTATACATTCAACTCACAGAGTTGAACCTTTCTTTTGATAGAGCAGTTTTGAAACACTCTTCTTGTAGAATCTGCAACTGCATATTTGAACTGCTTCGAGGCATTCTTTGGAAATAGGATACCTTCACATAATCACTAGACAGAAGCATTGTCAGAAACTTCTTTGTGACGTGCGAATTTAACTCACAGAGTTGAACCTTTCTTTTGATAGGGCAGGTTTGAAACACTCTTTTTGCCGAAACTGCAAGTGGACATTTGAAGCGCTTTGAGGCCTATGGTGGAAAAGGAAATATCTTCACATAAAAACTAGACAGAAGCATTCTCAGAAACTTCTTTGTGATGTTAGCATTCCACTCACAGAGTTGGACACACTTTATCATAGAGCAGTTTTGAAACACTCTTTTAGTAGAATCTGCGAGTGGATATTTGGACCGCTTTGAGGCTTTCTTTGGAAATGGGAATATCTTCACATAATCTCTAGAGAGAAGTTTTCTCAGAAACTTCTTTGTGCTGTGTGCATTCAACTCACAGAATTGAACCTTTCTTTTGATAGAGCAGTCTTGAAACACTGTTTTTGTAGAATCTGCAAGTGGACATTTGGAGAGCTTTGAGACCTATGGCCGAAAAGGAAATATCCTCACATAAAATATAGACAGAATCATTCTGAGAAACATCTTTGTGATGTTTGCATTCAACTCACAGAGTTGAAGATACTTTATCATAGGGCAGTTTTGACACACTCTTTTAGTAGAATCTGCAAGTGGATATTTGGACCGCTTTGAGGCATTCGTTGGAAATGGGAATGTCTTCAGATAATCACTAGATAGAAGCTTTCTCAGAAACTACTTTGTGATGTGTACATTCATGTCACAGAGTTGAACCTTTCTTCTTATAGAGAAGTTTAAGAACCCCCTGTTTGTAGAATCTGTATGTGGGTATTTCGACCAGTTTGAGGTCTTCGTTGGAAACGGGTATATCTTCACATAAACTCTAGACAGAGGCATTCTCAGAAACTTTTTTGTGATGTGTGCATTCAACTCACAGAGTTGAACCTTTCCTTTGATAGAGCAGTTTAGAAACCCTCTTTTTGTAGAATCTCTATGTGGATATTTGGACCAGTTTGAGGTCTTCGTTGGAAACGGGTATATCTTCACATAAACTCTAGACAGAAGCATTCTCAGAAACTTTTTTGTGATGTGTGCATTCAACTCACAGAGTTGGGCCTTTCTTTTGATAGAGCAGCTTTGAAACACTCTTTTTGTAGAATTTGCAATTGGATATTTGGTCCGCTTTGAGGCCTTCTTTGGAAACAGGAATATCTTCACATAAACACTAGACAGAAGCATTCCCAGAAACTTCTTTATGAGGTGAGCATTCAACTCACAGAGTTGAACATACCTTATCATAGAGCAGCTTTCAAACTCTCTTTTTGTAGAATCTGCCAGCGGATATTTTGAGAGCTTTGAGGCCTAAGGTGGAAAAGGTAATATCTTTATATAAAAGCCAGACAGAAAAATTCTCAGAAACTTCTCTGTGATGTGTGCATTCAACTCACAGAGTTGAACATTTCTTTTGATAGAGCAGGTTTGAAACACTCTTTTTGCAGAATCTGCAAGTGGACATTTGGAGCGCCTTGAGGCCTATGGTGGAAAAGGAAATATCTTCACATAAAAACTAGACAGAAGCATTCTCAGAAACTTCTTTGTGATGTTTGCCTTCAACTCACAGAGTTGAACATACCTTATCATAGAGCAGTTTTGAAGCACTCTTTTAGTAGAATCTGGAAGTGGATATTTTGAATGCTTTCAGGCCTTCATTGGAAACGGGAATATCTTCACATAAAAATTAGACAGCAGCATTCTCAGAAACTTCTTTGTGATGCGTACATTCAACTAACAGAGTTGAGCCTTTCTTTTGATAGAGCTGGTTTTAAACGCTCTTTTTGTAGAATCTGCAAATGGATATTTGGACCGCTTTGAGGCCTTCGTTGGAAACGGGAATATCTTCACATAAACACTAGACAGAAGCATTCTCAGAAACTTCTTTGTGCTGTGTGCATTCAACTCACAGAGTTTAACCTTTCTTTTGATAGAGCAGGTTGAAACACTCTTTTTGCAGAATCTGCAAGTGGACATTTGGAGCGCCTTGAGGCCTATGGTGGAAAAGGAAATATCTTCACATAAAAACTAGACAGAAGCATTCTCAGAAACTTCTTTGTGATGTTTGCTTTCAACCCACAGATTTGGACATACTGTATCATAGAGCAGTTTTGAAACACTCTTTTCGCAGAATCTGCAAGCGGATATTTGGACTGCTTACCAGCCTTCATTGGAAACGGGAATATCTTCACATAATCACTAGACAGAAGCTTTCTCAGAAACTTCTTTGTGCTGTGTGCATTCAACTCACAGATTTCAAGCTTTCTTTAGATAGAGCAGGTTTGAAACACTCTTTTTGTATAATCTGCAAGTGGACATTTGGAGCGATTTAAGCCCTACGGTGGAAAAGGAAATATCTTCCAATAAAAACTAGACAGAAGCATTCTCAGAAACTTCTTTGTGATGTTTGCCTTCAACTCACAGTGTTGAACATACCTTATGATAGAGCAGTTTTGAAACAATCTTTTAGTTGAATCTGGAAGTGGATATTTGGAACTTTTTGAGGCCTTCATCAGAAACAGGAGTATCTTCACATAAAAATTAGACAGCAGCATTCTCAGAAACTTCTTTGTGATGTGAACATTCAACTCACAGAGTTGAACCTTTCTTTTGATAGGGCAGCTTTGAAACACTCTTTTTGTAGAATCTGTCCATGGACTTTTGGAGAGCTTTGTGGCCTATGGTGGAAAACGAAATATCTTCACATAAAAACTAGACAGAAGCATTCTCAGAAACTTCTTTGTGATTTGTGCATTCAACTCACAGAGTTGAACCTTTCTTTTGATAAGGCAGACATTAAACACTTTTCATAGAATCTGCAAGAGGATATTTGGACCACTTTAAGTCCTTCATTGGAAACAGGAATATCTCACATAAACACTAGACAGAAGCATTCTCAGAAACTTCTTTGTGATGTGTGCATTCAACTCAGAGATGAACCTTTCTTTTGATAGAGCAGGTTTCAAACACTTTTTGTAGAATCTGCAAATGGACATTTGGAGCGCTTTGAGGCCTGTGCTGGAAAAGGAAATGTCTTCCCATGAAAACTAGAGAGAATAATTCTCAGAAACATCTTTGTAATGTTTGCCTTCAACTGACAGAGTTGAACATACTTATCATAGAGCAGTTTTGAAACCATCATTTTGTAGAATCTTCAAGTGGAAGTTTGGAGAGCTTTGAGGCCTAAGGTGGGAAAGGAAATATCTTCGCATAAAAAGTAGACAGAAGCATTCTCAGAAGCTTCTTTGTGATGTTTGCATTCAACTGACAGAGTTGAAACTATTTTTTGGTAGAGCAGTTTTGAAACACTCTTTTTGTAGAATCTGCAAGTGGATATTTGAAGTGCTTTGAGGACTTCATTGGAAACTGGAATATCGTCACATAAACACTAGACAGAATTGTTCTCAGAAACTTCTTTGTGATGTGTGCATTCAACTCACAGAGTTGAACCTCTCTTTTGTTACAGGAGTTTTGAAACACTCTTTTTGCAGAATCTGCAAGGGGACATTTGGAGAGCCTTGAGGCCTATGGTGGAAAAGGAAATATCTTCACATAAAAACTAGACAGAGGCGTTCTCAGAAACTTCTTTGTGATGTTTGCATTCAACTCACAGAGTTGGACATACTTTATCATAGAGAAGTTTTGATACACTCTTTTAGTAGAATCTACAAGTGGATATTTTGACCGTTTATTGGCCTTCGTTGGAAATGGGAATATCCTTATATAAAAATTAGACAGAAGCATTCTCAGAAACTTCTTTGTGTTGTGTGCATTCAACTCACAGTGTTGAACCTTTCTTTTGACAGAGCAGGTTTGAAACACTGTTTTTGTAGAATCCGTAAGTGAACCTTTGGAGCACTTTGGAGCCTATGGTGGAAAAGGAAATATGTTCACATAAAAACTAGACAGAAGTATTCTTAGAAACTTCTTTGCAATGTTTGCATTCAACTCACAGAGTTGAACATACCTTATGATAAAGCAGTTTTGAAACACTCTTTTTGTAGAAACTGTAATTGGATATTTGGACCGCTTTGAGGCCTTCGTTGGAAACGGGAATATCTTTACATAAAAACTAGACAGCAGCATTCTCATTAACTTCTTTGCGATATGTACATTCAACTCACAGAGTTGAACCTTTCTTTTGATAGAGCAGTTTTGAAACAGTCTTTTGGAGAATTTGCAAGTGGATATTTTTACTGCTTTGAGGCCTTCATTTGAAACGGAAATATATTCACATAAACACTAGAGAGAAGCATCCTCACAAACTTGTTTGTGATGTGTCCCTTCAACTCACAGAGCTGAAACTTTCTTTTGAGAGAGCAGATTTGAAGCACTCTTTTTATAGAATCTGCAAATGGACATTTGGAGCGCTTTAGAGGCCTAAGGTGGAAAAGGAAATATCTTCCCATAGAAACTAGACAGAAGGATACTCAGAAACTTCTTTGTGATGTTTGTATTCAACTCACAGTGTTGAACATACCATTTCATAGAGCAGTTTTGAAACACTCTTTTTGCAGAAACTGCAAGTGGAAATTTGGAGAGCTTTGAGGCCTTTGTTGGAATCGGTTATATCTTCACGTAAACACTAGACAGAAGCATTATCAGAAACTTCCTTGTGATGTGTACATTCAACTCACAGACTTGAAGCTTTCTTTTGATAGAGCAGGTTTGAAACACTCTTTTTGCAGAATCTGCAAGTGGACATTTTGAGCGCTTTCAGGCCTACGGTGGAAAAGGAAATATCTTCCCATAAAAACTAGACTGAAGCATTCTCAGAAACTCATTTGCAATGTTTGCCTTCAACTCACAGAGTTGAAAATACTTTATCATAGAGCAGTTTTGAAACACTCTTTAGTAAAATCTGCAAGTGGATATTTGTAATGCTTTCAGGCCTTCGTTGGAAACGAGATTATCTTCACATAAAAACTAGACAGGAGCATTCTCAGAAACTTCTTTGTGATGTGTACATTCAACGCACAGAGTTGAACCTTTCTTTTGATAGGGCAGGTTTGAAACACTCTTTTTTTAGTATCGGCAGGAGGATATTTGGACCGCTTTAAAGCCTTCATTGGAAGCCGGAAGATATTCACATAAACACTAGACAGAAGTATTCTCAGAAACTTCTTTGTGATGTGTGCATTCCACTCACAGAGATGAACCTTTCTTTTGATAGAGCAGGATTGAAACACTCTTTTTGTAGAATCTGCAAGTGGACATTTGGAGAGCTTTGAGGCCTATTGTAGAAAAGGAAATATCTTTATATAAAAATGAGACAGAAGAATTCTCAGAATTTTCTTTGTGATGTTCGCATTCCACTCACAGAGTTGAACATACCATTTCATAGAGCCTTTTGAAACATTCTTTGTAGAATCTGCAAGTGGATATTTGGACCGCTTTGAGGCCTTCGTTGGAAACGGGAATATCTTCACATAAGTACTAGACAGAGGTATTCTCAGAAACTTTGTGATGTGTGTATTCAACTCACAGAGCTGAACCTTTCTTTTGATAGAGCAGGTTTGAAACTTTCATTTTGTAGAATCTCCAAGTGAACATTTGGAGAGCTTTGTGGCCTATGGTAGAAAAGGAAATATCTTCACTTAAAAACTAGACAGAAGCACTCTCAGAAACTTCTTTTTGATATTTGCATTCAATTCACAGAGTAGAAACTTCCTTTCCATAGATCACTTTTGATACACTCCTTTAGTAGAATCTGAAGGGGATATTTGGACCACTTTGAGGCATTCGATGGAAACGGGAATATCTTCACATAATCACTAGACAAGGGTTCTCTGAAACTTCTTTGTGCTGTGTGCATTAAAATCACAGAGTTGAACCTTACTTTTTATAGAGCAGGTTTGAAACACACTTTTTGTACAATCTGTAACTGGACATTTAAAGTGTTTTGAGACCTATGGTGGAAAAGGAAATATCTTCCCATAAAAATTAGCTAGAAACTTTCTCAGAAACTTCTTTGGGTTGCTTGCATTCAACTCACAGAGTTGAACATATCTTATCATAGAGCTGTTTTGAAACATTCTTTTAGTAGAATCTGCAAGTGGATATTTGGAATGCCTTGAGGCCTTCGTTGGAAACTGGGATATCTTCAAATAAAAACTAGACAGCATCATTCTCAGAAACTTGTTTGTGATGTGTACATTCAGCTCACCGAGTTGAACCTTTCTTTTGATAGAGCAGTTTTGAAACACTCTTTTAGAAGAATCTGCAAGTGGATATTTGGACCGCATTGAGGCCTTCGCTGGAAATGGGAATATCTTCACATAAAAACTAAACAGCAGCATTCTGAGAAACTTTTTGTGATGTGTACATTCAACTAACAGAGGTGAAAATTTCTTTTGATGGATCAATTATGAAACACTCTTTTTGCAGTATCTGCAAGTGGATATTTGTACTGCTTTGAGACCTTCGTTTGAAACGGCAATATCTTCACATAAACACTAGACAGAAGCATTCTCACAAACTTCTTTGTGATGTGTGCCTTTAACTCACAGAGTTGAACCTTTCTTTTGATAGAGCAGGTTTGAAACACTCTTTTTGTAGAATCTGCAGGTGGACATTTGGAGCGCTTTGTGGCCTATGGTGGAAAAGGAAATATCTTCCCATAAAAACTAGACAGAAGTATTCTCAGAAATTTCTTTGTGATGTTTGCATTCAACTCACAGAGTTGAACATACCACTTCATAGAGCAGTTTTGAAACGCTCTTTTTGTAGATCCTGCAAGTGGAAATTTGGAGAGCTTTGAGGCCTTTGTTGGAATTGGGTATATCTTCACATAAACACTGGACAGAAGCATTCTCAGAAACTTCTTTGTGATGTTTGCATTCAACTACTCACAGAGTTGAACATAATTTATCATAGAGCAGTTTTGAAACACTCTTTTTGTAGAATCCGCTAGTGGATATTTGGACTGTTTTGAAGCATTCATTGGAAACGGGAATATCTTCATATAAAAACTAGACAGAAACATTCTCAGAAACTTCTTTTTGATGTGTGCATTCAACTCACAGAGTTGAACATTTCTTTCGATAGGGCAGTTTTGAAACACTCTTTTTGTAGAATCTGCAAGTGGACATTTCTGAACTTTGAGGCTTATGGTGGAAAATGAAATACCTTCACATGAAACCTAGACAGAAGCATTCTCAGAAACTTCTTTGTGATATGTGCATTCAACTCACAGAGTTGAACCTTTCTTTTGATAGAGCAGGTTTGAAACACTCTTTTTGGAGAATTTGAAAGTGGACATTTGGAGAGCTTTGAGGCCTATGTGGAAAATGAGGTATCTTCACATAAAAACTAGACATAAGCAATATCAGAAACTTCTTTGTGATGTTTGCATTCAACTCACACAGTTGAACATACCTTTTCATGGAGGAATTTTGAAACACTTTTTTTGTAGAATCTGCTTGTTATATTTGGACTGCTTTGAGGCCTTCGTTGGAAACAGGAATATCACTACATAAAAACTAGACAGAAGCATTCTCAGTAACTTGTTTGTGATGTGTGCATTCAACTCACAGAGTTGAACCTTTCTTTTGATAGAGCAGGTTTGAAACACTCTTTTTGCAGAATCTGCAAGTGGACATTTGGAACGCTTTGGGGCCTATGGTGGAAAAGGAAATATCTTCACATAAAAACTAGTCAGAAGCATTCTCAGAATCTTCTTTCTGATGTGTGCATTCAACTGACAGAGTTGAAGCTTTCTTTTGATAGAGCAGGTTTGAGCCACTCTTTCTGTAGCATCTGCATTGGACATTTGGAGCACTTTGAGACCTATGGTGGAAAAAGAAATATCTTCCCATAAAAACTAGAGAGAAGCATTCAGAAACTTCTTTGTGATGTTTGCCTTCAACTCACAGAGTTGGAGATATCTTATAGAGCAGTTTTGAAACACTCTTTTAGTAGAATCTGCAAGTGAATATTTGGAACGCTTTGAGGCCTTCATTGCAAACGGGAATATCTTCACATAAAAACTAGACAGCAGCATTCTCAGAAACTTCTGTATGATGTGTGCATTCAACTCACAGAGATGAAACTTTCTTTTGATAGAGCAGTTTTGAAACACTCTTTTTGCAGAATCTACAAGTGGACATTTGAAGCGCTTTGAGGCCTATGGTTGAAAAGGAAATGTCTTCACATAAAAACTAAACAGAATAATTCTCAGAAATTATTTGTGATGTTTGCATTCAACTCACAGAATTGGACATACTTTATCATAGAGCAGTTTTGAAACACTCTTTTAGTAGAATCTGCAAGTGGATATTTGTACTGCTTTGAGACCTTCGTTGGAAATGGGAATATCTTCACATAAACATTCAACAGAAGCATTCTCATAATCTTCTTTGTGATGAGTGCATTCAACTCACAGAGTTGAAACTTTCTTTTCAAAGAGCTGTTTGAAACACTCTTTTTGTAAAATGTGCAAATGGACATTTGGAGCGCTTTGAGGCCTGTGGTGGAAAAGGAAATATCTTCACATAAAAACTAGACAGAAGAATTCTGAGAAACTTCTTTGTGATGTGTGCGTTCTTCTCACAGAGTTGAAACTTCCTTTTGATTGAGCAGTTTACAGACACTCTTTTTGTAGAATCTACAAGTGGGCATTAGGAGCCCTTTGCGACTTATGTTATAAAGGAAATATCTTCACATAAAATCTAGACAGAACCAATGTGAGAAACCTCTTTGTGATGTATGTATTCATCTCACAGAGTTTAACCTTTCTTTTGATCGAGCAGTTTTGATCCTCTTTTTTGTAGAATCTGCAAGTGGACATTTGGAGTGCTTTGAGGCCTATGGTGGAAAAGGAAATATCTTCACATAAAAACTAGGGAGAAGAATTCTGAGAAACTTCTTTGTGATGTGTGCGTTCATCTCACAGAGTTGAACCTTTCTTTTGATTGAGAATTATGGAAAAACTCTTTTTGTAGATTCTGTAAGTGGACATTTGAAGCGCTTTGCAGCCTAACTTAGAAAAGGAAATATCTTCACATAAAATCTAGACAGAAGCATTCTCAGAAACTTCTTTGTGATGTTTGCATGCAACTCACAGAGTTGAACCTTTCTTTTGATACAGCAGTTTTGAAACTCTCTTTTTGTTGAATGTGGAAGTGGACATTTAGAGCGCTTTGAGGCTTATGGTGGAAAAGGAAATATCTTCACATAGAAACTAGACAGAAGCATTCTCAGAAACTTCTTTGTAATATCTACATTCTACTCACAGAGTTGAATATTCATTTTCATGGGGAAGCTTTGAAACACTCTTTTTGTAGAATATGCTAGTGGATATTTGGACTGCTTTGAGGCCTTCATTGGAAACGGGAATATCTTCACATAAAAACTAGACAGAAGCATTCTCAGAAACTTGTTTGTAATGTGTGCATTCACTTCACAGAGTTGAAACTTTCTTTTGATAGAGCAGTTTTGAAACACTCTTTTTGTAGAATCTGCAAGTGGACACTTGGAACACTTTGAGGCCTATAGTGGAAAAGGAAATATCTTCCCATCTAAACTAGAGAGAAGCATTCTCAGAAACTTCTTTTTGATGTTTGCCTTCAACTCACAGAGTGGAACATACCTTATCATAGATTCGTTTTGAAACACTCCTTTAGTAGAATCTGCAAGTGGATATTAGGTACCCCTTGAGGCCCTCCTTGGAAACAGGAATATCTTCACATAAAATCTAGACAGCAGCATTTTCAGAAACTTCTTTGTGATGTGTACATTCAACTCACAGAGTTAAACCTTTCTTTTGATTGAGAAGTTCTGAAACATTCTTTTTGTAGAATCCGCTAGTGGACATTTGTAGCGCTTTTGGGCCTATAATGGAAAAGGAAATATCCTCACATAAAAACTAGACAGAAGTATTCTCAGAATCTTCTTTGTGATGTGTGACTTCAACTCAAATAGTTGAAACTTTCTTTTGATTCAGCAGTTTGGAAACACTCTTTTTGGAGATTCTGCAAGTGGACATTTGTAGCACTATGTGGACTATGGTAGAAAAGGTAATATCTTCAAAAAAATCTAGACAGAAGGAATCTGAGAAACTCCTTTGGCATGTGTGCATTCATCTCACAGAGTTCAAACTTTCTTTTGACTGAGCAGTTTTGAAACACTGTTTTTGTAGAATTTGCAAGTGGACATTTGGATCGTTTTGAGGCCTATGGTGGAAAAGGAAATATCTTCACATAAAAACTTGACAGAAGAATTCTGAGAATCTCCTTTGTGATGTATGCGTTTATCTCACAAAGTTGAACCTTCCTTTTGATTGGGCAGTTTAGAAACATTCTTTTTGTAGAATCTGCAAGTGGACTATTGGAGTGCTTTGTTGCCTATGGTAGAAAAGGAAATATCTTCACATAAAATCTAGACAGAAGAAATCTCAGAAACTTCTTTGTGATGTGTGCATTCATCTCAGAGAGTTAAACCTTTCTTTTGGTTGAGTTGTTTTGAAGTTCTCTTTTTGTAGAATCTGCAAGTGGACATTTTGAGTGCTTTGAGGCCTACAGTGGGAAAGGAAATATCTTCACATAAAAACTAGACAGAAGAATTCTGAGAAACTTCTTTGTGATGTGTGCGTTCTTCTCACAGAGTTAAAACTTCCTTTTGATTGAGCAGTTTGCAGACACTCTTTTTGTAGAATCTGCAAGTGGACTATTAGAGTGCTTTGTTGCCTATGTTATAAAAGGAAATATCTTCACATAAAATCTAGACAGAACCAATGTGAGAAACCTCTTTGTGATGTGTGCGTTCATCTCACAGAGTTAAAGCAATCTTTTGATTGAGCAGTTTTGAAACTCTTTTTTTGTAGAATCTGCAAGTGAACATTTGGAGTGCTTTGAGGCCTATGGTGGAAAAGGAAATATCTTCACCTAAAAACTAGAGAGAAGAATTCTGAGAAACTTCTTTGTGATGTGTGCATTCATCTCACAGAGTTGAACCTTTCTTTTGATTAAGAATTATGGAAGCACTCTTTTTGTAGATTCTGTAAGTAGGCATTTGAAGCACTTTGCAGCCTATGTTAGAAAAGGAAATATCCTCACATAAAATCTAGACAAAAGCAATGTGAGAAACTTCCTTGGGATGTGTGCATTCATCTCACAGGGTTAACTCTTACTTTTGATTGAGCAGTTTTGAAACTCTCTTTTTGTTGAATGTGGAAGTGGACATTTGGAGTGCTTTGAGGCTTATGGTGGAAAAGGAAATATCTTCACATAGAAACTAGACAGAAGCATTTTTAGAAACTTCTTTGTGATGTGTGCACTGATCTCACAGAGTTAAGCCTTTGTTTTGATAGAGCAGTTTTGAATCTCTCTTTTTGTAGAATCTGCAAGTTAACATTTGGAGCGCTTTGAGGCCTGTGGAGGAAAAGGAAATATTTTTACATCAAAACTACACAGAAGAATTTGGAGAAGCTTCTTTGAGATGCATGCGTTTATCTCACAGAGTTGAACCTTTCTTATGATTAAGCAGTTTGGAAAAACTCTTTTTGTGGAATTTGCAACTGGACATTTGGAGCGCTTTGTGGCCTATGGTAGAAAAGAAAATATCTTCACATAAAATCTAGATAAAAGCAATCTGACAAACCTCTTTGTGGTGTGTGCATTCATCTCACAGAGTAAACCTTTCTTTTGATTGAACGGTTTTGAAACTCTCTTTTCGTAGAATCTGCAAGTGGACATTTGGAGCGCTTTGAGGACTGTGGTGGAAAAGGTAATATCTTCACATAAAAACTAGACAGAAGAATTCTGACAAACTTCTTGGGAATGTGTGCTTTCATCTCACAGACTTGAACCTTTCTTTTGATTGAGCAGTTTGGAAACACTCTTTTTTGTAGAATCTGCAAATGGACATTTGAAGCACTTTGCGACCTATGGTAGAAAAAGTAATACCTTCACATAAAATCTAGAGAGAAGCAATCGGAGAAACTTCTTAGTGATGGGTGCATTCATCTCACAGAGTTTAAACTTTCTTTTGATTCAGCAGTTTTGAAACTCTCTTTTTGTAGAATCTGCAAGTGGACATTTGGAACGCTTTGAGGCCTATGGTGGAAAAGGAAATATCCTCACATAAAAACTAGAAAGAATAATTCTGACAAACTTCTTTTTGATGTGTGCGTTCTTCTCACAGAGTGGAACCGTTCTTTTGGTTGAGCAGTTTGGTACCACTCTTTCTTTTAGAGTCTGCAAGTGGACATTTGGAGCACTTTGTGGTCTATGGTAGAAAAGTAAATATCTTCACATAAAATCTAGACAGAAGCAATATGAGAAACTTGTTTGTGATATATGCATTCATCTCACAGAGATAACCGTTTCTTTTGATTGAGCAGTTTTGAAACTCTCTTTTTGTAGAATCTGCAAGTGGACATTTAGAGCGTCTTGAGGCCTATGGTGGAACAGGAAATATCTTCACATAAAAATTAGACAGAAGAATTCTGAGAAACTTCTTTGTGACGAGTGTGTTCATCTCACAGAGTTGAACGTTTCTTTTGATTGAGTAGTTTGGAAACACTCTTTTTGTAGAATCTGCAAGTGGACATTTGGAACTCTTTGTGGCCAATGGTAGAAAAGGAAATATCTTCACATAAAATCTAGACAGAAGCAATCTGAGAAACTTCTTTGTGATGCGTGCATTAATCTCACAGAGTTAAACCTTTCTTTTGGTTGAGCAGATTGGAAACTCTCTTTTTGTAGAATCTGCAAGTGGACATTTGTCAGCACTTTGAGGCCTGTGGTGGAGAAGGAAATATCTTCACATAAAAAGTAGATAGAAGCATTCTGAGAAAGTTCTCTGTGATGTCTGCATTCATCTCCTGGAGTTCTAACTTTCTTTAGGAGACCCAGTTTTCAAATACTCTTTTTGGATAATCTGCAAGGGGACATTTCAAGCACCTTGAGGCTTAAGTTGGAAAAGGAAATATCTTCACACACAAAAAAAGAAGAATTCTGAGAATCTTTTTTATGATGTGTACGTTCATCTAACAGAGTTGAACCTTTCTTTTGATTGCATAGTTTGGGAACACCCTTTTTGTAGAATCGGCAAGTGGACATTTGGAGCGCTTTGCGGCCTATGATAGAAAAGGAAATATCTTCACATAAAATCTACAAGGAAGCAACCTGAGAAACTCCTTTGTGATGTGTGCATTCATCTCACAGAGTTGAAACTTTCTTTTGATTGAGCAGTTTTGAAACACTCTCTTCGTGGAAACTGCAAGTGGATATTGGGAGTTCTTTGAAGCCTATTGTGGAAAAGGAAATATCTTCACATAAAAACTACTCAGAAGCATTCTGAGAAACACCATTGTGATGTTTGCATTCAACTCACAGAATTGAAACTGCATTTTGATTGAGTAGTTCTGAATCTCTCTTTTTGGCAGAAACTACAAGTGTATGTTTGGAAAGCTTTGAGGCCTATTGTGGGAAAGGAAATATCTTCACATAAAAACTACACAGAAGCATTCTGAGAAACTACTTTGTGAGGTGTTCATTCAACTCACAGAGTTGAAATTATCTTTTCTTTGAGGAGTTTTCAATCTCTCTTTTTGTAGAATCTGCAAGTGGATATTTGAAGACCTTTGAGCCCTATGGTGGAAAAGGAAATATCTTGAAATAAAAACTACACAGAAGCATTCAGAGAAACTTCTTTGTGATATGTGCATTGAACTCACAGAGTTGAACCTATCTTTTGATTGAGCAGTTTTGAATCTCTCTTTTTGCACAATCTGAAGGTGGATATTTGAGCCCTTTGAGGCCTACAGCGGAAAAGCAAATATCTTCACATAAAAACTATGCAGAAGCATTGTGAGAAACTACTTTGTGAGGTGTGCATTCAACTGACAGAGTTGAACTTATCTTCTCATTGAGCAGTTTTGAATTTATCTTTTGGTAGAATCTCCAAGTGGATATTTGGAGCTCTTTGAACCCTATGGTGGAAAAGGAAATATCTTCAAACAAAAACTACACAGAATCACTCAGAGAAACTGCTTTGTGATGTGTGCATTCATCTCACAGGGTTGAACTTAGCTTATGATTGAGCAGTTTTGAAACACTCTTTTTGTAGTATCTTCAAGTGGATATTTGGAGCGCTTTGAGGTCTACAGTGGAAAACCAAATATCTTCAAATAAGAACTACACAGAAGCATTCTGAGAAACTTCTTTGTGATGTGTGCATTCATCTCATAGAGTTGAAACTTTCTTTTGATTGAGCAGTTTTGAAACACTCTTTCTGCTGAATCTGCAAGTGGATATTTGGAGCCCTCTGCGGCCTATGGTGGAAAAGGAAATATCTTCAAATAAAAACTACACAGAAGCATTCTCAGAAACTTCTTCATGATGTATGCATTCAACTCACAGAGTTGAACTTATCTTTTGATTGAACAGTTTTGAATCTCTCTTTTTGTAGAATCTGCAAGTGGATATTTGGAGCGCTGTGAGGCCTACTGTGGAAAATCAAATATGTTCACATAAAAACTACAGAGAAGCATTCTGAGAAACTTCTTTGTGCTGTATGCATTCAACTCACAGAGTTCAACCTGTCTTTCAATTGAGCAGTTTTGAATCTCTCTTTTTGCAGATTCTGCAAGTGGGTGTTGGGAGAGCTTTGAGGCCTATGGTGGAAAAGGAAATAACTTCACATAAAAACTACACAGAAGCATTCTGAGAAACTTCTTTGTGATGTGTGCATTCATCTCACAGAGTTGAACCTTTATTTTGATTGAGCAGTTTTGAAACACTCTTTTTGTAGAATCTGCAAGTGGATATTTGGAGAACTTTGAGGCCTATTTTGGAAAAGGAAATATCTTCACATAAAAACTACTCAGAAGCATTCCGAGAAACTTCTTTGTGATATGGGCATTCAACTCACAGAGTTGAACCTATCTTTTGATTGAGCAATTTAGAGTCACTCTTTTTCTAGAATCTGCAAGTGGATATTTGGAACCCGTTGCACCCTATGGTGGAAAAGGAAATATCTTCAATAAAAACTACACAGAAGCATTCTAAGAAACTTCTTCGTGATGTGTGCATTCAACTGACTGAGTTGAACTTATCTTCTCATTGAGTAGTTTTCAATCTCTGTTTTGTAGAATCTGGAAGTGGATGTTTGGAGCCCTTTCACCCTATTGTGGAAAAGGAAATATCTGCAAATAAAACTACACAGAACCATTCAGAGAAACTTCTTTGTGATGTATACATTCAACTCAGAGTTGATCCTATCTTTTGATTGAGCAGTTTTGAATCCCTCTTTTTGCAGAATCTGCAGGTGGATATTTGGAGCCTTTTGAGGCTTACTGTGGAAAATCAAATATGTTCACATAAAAACTACACAGAAAGATTCTGAGAAACTTCTTTGCGATGTGTGCATTCAAGTCACAGAGTTGAACCTATCTTTCGATTGAGCAGTTTTGAATCTCTCTTTTTGCAGAACCTGTATGTGGATGTTTGGAGAGCTTGGAGGCCTATTGTGGAAAAGGAAATATCTTCACATAAAAACTACACAGAAACATTCTGGGAAACTTCTTTGTGAGGTGTGCATTCAACTCACAGATTTGATCTTATCTTCTCATTGAGCAGTTTTGAATCTCTCTTTTTGTAGAATCTGCAAGTGGATATTTTGAGCCCTTTGAGCCCTGTGGTGCAAAAGGAAATATCTTGAAATAAAAACTACAAAGGAGCATTCAGACAAACTTCTTTGTGATGTATGCATTCAACTCACAGAGTTGAACGTATCTTTTGATTGAGCAGTTTCGAATCTCTCTTTTTGCAAAATCTGCAGGTGGATATTTGGAGCCCTTTGAGGCCTACTGTGGAAAAGCAAATATCTTCGCATAAAAATTACACAGAAGCATTCTGAGAAACTACTTAGTGACGTGTGCATTCATCTCACAGGGTTGAATCTATCTCATGATTGAGCAGTTTTGAAACACTATTTTTGTAGAATATGGAAGTGGATATTTGGAGCCTATTGAGGCCTATAGTGTAAAGAAAATATCTTCACATAAAAACAACACAGAAGGATTCTGAGAAACTTCTTTGTGATGTGTGCATTCATCTCACTGAGTTGAACCTTTCTTTACATTGCGCAGTTTTGAAACACCGTTTTTGTAGAATCTGCAAGTGGATATTTGGAGAACTTTGCCGCCTATTGTGGAAAAGGAAACATCTTCACATAAAAACTACTCAGAAGCATTCCAAGAAACTTCTTTGTGATGTGGGCATTCAACTCACAGAGTTGAACCTATCTTTTGATTGAGCAGTTTAGAGTCTCTCTTTTTCTATAATCTGCAAGAGGATATTTGGAGCCCTTTGCACCCTATGGTGGAAAAGGAAATATCTTCAATAAAAACTACACAGAAGCATTCTAAGAAACTTCTTCGTGATGTGTACAGTCAACCCACTGAGTTGAACTTATCTTCTCAATGAGCAGTTTTGAATCTCTGTTTTTGTAGATTCTGCAAGTGGATATTTAGAGCCCTTTTTGCCCTATGGTGGAAAAGGAATTATCTTCAAATAGAACTACACAGAATCATTCAGAGAAACTTCTTTCTGATGTATGCATTCAACTCACAGTGTTGAACCTATCTTTTGATTGAGCAGTTTTGAATACTTCTTTTTGCAGAATCTGCAGGTGGATATTTGGAGCCTTTTGAGGCCTGCTGTGGAAAATCAAATATGTTCACATGAAAACTACAAAGAAAGATTCTGAGAAACTTCTTTGTGATGTGTGCATTCAACTCACAGAGTTGAACCTATCTTTTGATTGAGCAGTTTTGAATCTCTCTTTTTGTAGAATCTGCAAGTGGATATTAGGAGCCCTTTGCACCCTATGGTGGAAAAGGAAATATCTTCAAATAAAAACTATATAGAAGCATTCAGAGAAACTGCTTTGTGATGTGTTCATTCAACTCACAGAGGTGAACTTATCTTTTGTTTGAGCAGTTTTGAATCTCTCTTTATGAAGAATCTGCAGGTGGATATTTGGAGACCTTCGAGGCCTACTGTGGAAAAGGAAATAACTTCAAATAAAAACTACACAGAAGCATTCTCAGAAACTTCTTCGTGATGTATGCATTCAACTCACAGAGTTGAACCTATCTTTTGATTGAACAGTTTTGAATCTCTCTTTTTGCACAATCTGCAAGTGGATATTTTGACCGTTGTGAGGCCTACTGTGGAAAATCAAATATGTTCACATAAAAACTAAACAGAAGCATTCTGAGAAACTTCTTTGTGAGGTGTGCATTCAACTCACAGAGTTGATCTTATCTTCTCTTTGAGCAGTTTTGAATCTCTCTTTTTGTAGAATCTGCAAGTGGATATTTGGAGCCCTTTGAGCCCTATGGTGGAAAAAGAAATATCTTGAAATAAAAACTACACAGAAACATTCAGACAAACTTCTTTGTGATGTGTGCATTCAACTCACAGAGTTGAAAGTATCTTTTGATTGAGCAGTTTTGAACCTCTCTTTTTGCAGAATCTGCAAGTGGATATTTGGAGCCCTTTGAGGCCTACTGTGGAAAAGCAAATATCCTCACATAAAAATTACAGAGAAGCATTCTGAGAAACTACTTCGTGACGTGTGAATTCATCTCACAGGGATGAATTTATCTCATGATTGAGCAGTTTTGAAACACTCTTTTTGTAGAATATGGAAGTGGATATTTGGAGCCCACTGAGGCCCATTGTGTTAAGGAAATATCTTCACATAAAAACAACACAGAAGCATTCTGAGAAACTACTTTGTGATGTGTGCATTCATCTCACAGGGTTGAAACTTTCTTTTCATTGAGCAGTTTTGAAACACCGTTTTTGTAGAATTTTCAAGTCGATATTTGGAGAACTTTGAGGCCTATTGTGGAAAAGGAAACATCTTCCCATAAAAAATACTCAGAAGCATTCTGAGAAACTTCTTTGTGATGTGGGCATTCAACTTACAGAGTTGAACCTATCTGTTGATTGAGCAGTTTAGAGTTTCTCTTTTTCTAGAATCTGCAAGAGGATATTTGGAGCCCTATGCACCCTATGGTGGAAAAGGAAATATCTTCCATAAAAACTGCACAGAAGCTTTCTAAGAAACTTCTTAGTGATGTGTACATTCAAATCACTGAGTTGAAATTATCTTCTCAATGAGCAGTTTTGAATCTCTGGTTTTGTAGAATCTACAAGTGGATATTTGGAGCCAATTGTGCCCTATGGTGGAAAAGGAATTATCTTTAAATAAAACTACACAGAACCATTCAGAGAAACTTCTTTGTGATGTATGCATTCAACTCACAGAGATGAACCTATCTTTTGATTGGGCAGTTTAGAATCTCTCTTTTGAAGAAACTGCAAGTGGATATTTGGAGCCCTTTGCGCTCTGTGTTGGAAAATGAAATATCTTTAAATAAAAACAACACAGAAGTAGTCAGAGAAACTTCTTTGTGCTGTGTGCATTAAACTCAGAGAGTTGAAACTTCCTTTTGGTAGAGCAGTTTTGAAACACTCTTTTTGTAGAATCTGCAGGTGGATATTTGGAGCGCTTTGAGGCCTATGGTAGAAAAGGAAATATGTTCATACAGAAACTAGATAGAAGCATTCACAGAAACTACTTTGTGATGTGTGCATTCAACTCAAAGAGTTGAACATTCCTTTAGTCAGAGCAGGTTTGCAGCACTCTTTTTGTAGAATCTGCAAGTGGATACTTGGACTGCTCTGAGGCCTATGTTGGAAAAGGAAATATCATCACACAAAAACTAGACAGAAGCATTCTCAGAAACTTCTTTGTGATTTGTGCATTCAACTCATGGAGTTCACCATTCCTCTTAACAGAACAGTTTTGAAACACACTTTTTGTAGAATCTGCAAGTGGATATTTGGAGTGTTTTGAGGCCTTCGGTGGAAACGGGAATACCTTCACATAAACACTAGACAGAAGCATTCTCAGAAACTTCTTTGTGATGTGTGCATTCAATTCACAGAGTTGAACCTTCTTTTTGATAGAGCAGTTTTGAGACACTGTTTTTGTATAATCTGCAAGTGGACATTTGGATCGCTCTGAGGCCTACGGTGGCAATGGAAATATTTTTACATAAAAACCAGACAGAAGAATTCTTCGAAACTCCTTTGTGATGTGTGCATTCAACTCAGAGAATTGAACCTTTCTTTTGATACAGCAGGTTTGAAATACTCTTTTTGTAGAATCTGCAAGAGGACATTTGCAGCGCTTTGAGGCCAATGGTGGAAAAGAAAATAACTTCACATAAAAACTAGACAGAAGCATTCTCAGAAACTTCTTTGTGATGTTTGCATTCCACTCACAGATTTGAACATACCTTATCATAGAGCAGTTTTGAAACACTCTTTTAGTAGACTTCGCAAGTGGATATTTGGACTGCTCTGAGGCCTTCGTTGGAAACGGGAATACCTTCACATAAAGACTAGACAGAAGCATTCTCTGAAACCTCTTAGTGATGTGTGCATTCAACTCACAGAGATGAACTTTTCTTTTGATAGAGCAGGTTTGAAACACTCTTTTTGTAGAATCTGCAAGTTGACATTTGGAGAGCTTTGAGGCATATGGTGGAAAAGGAAATATCTTCACACAAAAACTAGACAGAAGCATTCTCAGAAACTTCTTAAGGATGTTTGTATTTAACTCACAGAGTTGAACATACCTTTTCATGGAGAAGTTTAGAAACACACTTTTTGTAGAATCTGCAAGTGGATATTTAGACCGCTTTGAGGCCTTCATTGGAAATGGGAATATCTACACATAAACACTAGAGAGAAGCATTCTCAGAAACTCCTTTGTGATGTGTGCATTCAAATCACAGAGTTGAACCTTTCCTTTGATAGAGCTGGTTTGAAACACTCTCTTTGTAGAATCTGCAAGTGGACATTTGGAGTGATTTGAGGCCTATGCTGGAAAAGGAAATATCTTCACATAAAAACTAGACAGAAGCATACTCAGAAACTTCTTTGTGGTGTTTTCATTAAACTCACAGAGTTAAACCTTCCTTTTCATAGAGCAGTTTTGAAACACTCTTTTCGTAGGATCTGCAAGTTGACATTTGAACTGCTTTGAGGCCTAGGGTGGAAAAGGAAATAGCTTCACATAAAAACTAGACAGAAGCATTCTGAGAAACTTCTTTGTGATGTGTGAATTAAACTCACAGAGTTGAACTTTCTCTGATAGAGCAGTTTTGAACCAATCTTTTTGAAGAAACTGCAAATGGATATTTGGACTGCTTTGAGGCCTTCGTTGAAAACGGGAATGTCTTTACATAAACACTAGACAGAAGCATTCCCAGAAACTTCTCTGTGATATGTGCATTCAATTCACAGAGTTGAACCTTTCTTTTGATAGAGCAGGTTTGAAACAATCTTTTTGGAGGATCTGCAAGTGAACTTTTGGAGAGCTTTGAGGCCTATGGTGGAAAAGGAAGTATCTTGATATAAAAAGCAGGCAGAAGAATTCTCAGAAAATTCTTTGTGATCTTGCATTCAACTCACAGAGTTGAACATACCTTTTGATAGAGCAGTTTTGAAACACTCTTTTAGTAGAATGTGCATGTGGATATTTTTACCGCTTTGAGGCCTTCTATGGAAAGGGGAATATCTTCACATAAAAAATAGACAGAAGCATTCTCAGAAACTTCTTTGTGATGTTTGTTTTCAACTCACAGATTTCAACGTACCTTATCATAGAATAGCTTTGAAACACTCTTTTAGCAGAATCTGCACGTGCACATTTGGAGAGCTTTGAGGCCTGTGGTGGAAAAGGAGATATCATCATATAAAAACTAGACAGAAGAATTCTCAGAAACATCTTTGTGACGTTTGCATTCAACTCAAAGAGTTGAACATACCTTTTAACAGAGCAGTTTTGGAACACTCTTCGTGGAATCTGCAAGCGGATATTTGGAACGCTTTGAGGCCTTCGTTGGAAACGGGAATATCTTCACATAAAAACTAGACAGAAGCATTCTCAGAAAATTCTTTAGGGTGGTTGCATTCAACACACAGAGTTGAACATACCTTGTCCTAGAGCAGTTTTGAAACACTCTTTTTGTAGAATCTGCAAGTGGATATTTGGACCGCTTTGAGGCTTTCGTTGGAAATGGGAATATCTTCACATAAACAGTAGACAGAAGGATTCTCAGACTCTTCTTTGTAATGTGTGCTTTCAACTCACAGAGTTTAACCTTTCTTTTGATAGAGCAGGTTTGAAACACTCTTTTTGTAGGATCTGCAGTTCGACATTTTGAGAGCTTTGAAGCCTATGGTTCAAAAGGAAATATCATCACATAAAAAGTAGACAGAAGCATTCTCAGAAACTACATTGTGATGTTTGCATTCAAAACACAGAGTTGAACATAACTTTTCATGGAGCAGTTTTGAAACACTCTTTATGTAGAAGCTGCAAATGGATATTTGGATAGCTTTCAGGACTTCGTTGGAAACGGGAATATCTTCACATAAAAACTAGATAGAAGCATTCTCAGAAACTAGTTTGTGAGGTTTGCATTCAACTCACAGAGTTGAACATACTTTATCATAAAGCAGTTTTGAAACACTCTTGTAGTAGAAGCTGCAAGTGGATATTTGGACCGCTTTGAGGTCTTCGTTGGAAACGGGATTATCTTCACATAATCACTAGAGAGATGCTTTCTCAAAAACTTCTTTGTGCTGAGTGCATTCAACTCACAGAGTTAACCTTATTTCATAGAGCAGGTATGAAACATCCTTCTTGTAGAATCTACAACTGGACATTTGGAACGCTTTGAGGCCTGTGGTGGAATAGGAAATATCTTCACATAAAAACTAGACAGAAGCATTCTCAGAAACATCTTTGTGATGTTTGCATTCAACTCACAGAGTTCAAAATCCCTTTTCATAGAGCAGTTTTGAAACACTCATTTTGTAGACTCTACAAGTGGATATTTGGACTACTTTGAGGCCTTCATTTTAAAAGGGAATATCTTCACATAAAAACTAGACAGAAGCGTTCTCAGAAACTTCTTTGTGATGTGTGCATTCAACTCACCGAGTTGAACATACTTTGTCATAGAGCAGTTTTGAAGCACCCTTTTAGTAGAATCTGCAAGTGGATATTTTGACCGCTTTGAGGCCTTCATTGGAAACAGGAATATCTTCACATAAAAACTAGACAGATGCATTCTCAGAAACTTCTTTGTGATGTGTGTATTCAACATAAAGATTTGAACCTTTCTTTTAATAGAGCAGGTTTGAAACACTCTTTTTGTAGAATCTGCAAGTGGACATTTGGAGAGCTTTGAGGCCTATGGTGGAAAAGGAATTATCTTCTCATAAAAACTACACAGAAGCATTCTCAGAAACAACTCTGTGATGTGTTCATTAAACACAAAGAGTTGAAGGTTTCTTTTGATATAGTAGATTTGAAATATTCTTTTTGTAGAATCTGTAAGTGGACATTTGGAGAGCTTTGAGGCGTATGGTGGAAAAGGAAATATCTTCACACAAAAACTAGACAGAATCATTCTCAGAAACGTCTTTGTGATGTTTGCATTCAACTCACAGAGTTGAAGATACCTTTCCATGGAGCAATTTTGAGATACTCTTTTTGTAGAATCTGCAAGTGGATATTTGGACCGCTATGAGGCCTTCATTAGAAAAAGAAATATCTTCTCATAAACACTAGACAGAAGCATTCTCAAAAACTTCTTTGTCATGCGTGCATTAAACTCAAAGAGTTGAACCTTTCTTTTGATAGAGCAGCTTTGAAACACTCCTTTTGTAGAATCTGCAAGTTGACATTTGGAGAGCTTTGAGGCCTATGGTGTAAAAGGTTATATCTTCATATAAAAATTAGAGAGAAGAATTCTCAGAAACTTCTTTGTGATGCTTGCATTCAACTCAGAGTTGAACATACCTTTTCATAGAGCAGTTTTGAAACAGTCTTTTCCTAGATTCTGCAAGTGGATATTTGGAACGCTTTGAGACCTTCGTTGGAAACGGGAATATGTTCACACAAAAACAGGCAGAAGCATTCTCAGAAACTTCGTTGTGATGTGTGCATTCAACTCAAAGAGTTGAAACTTTCTTTTGATAGAGCATGTTTGAAACACTCTTTTTGTAGAATCGGTACCGGATATTTTTAGAGCTATGAGGCCTATGGTGGAAAAGGAAATATCTTCAAATAAAAACCAGACAGAAGAATTCTAAGGAACTACATTGTGATGTTTGCGTTCAACTCATAGAGATGAACATACCTTTTCATCGAGCAGTTTTGAAATGCTCTTTTTGTAGAATCTGCAAGTGAATATTTGGACCACTTTGAGGCCTTCGTTGGAAATGGGAACATCTTCACATAATCACTAGATAGAAGCTTTCTCAAAAACTTTTTTGTACTGTGTGCATTCAACTCACGGACTTGTACCTTTCTTTTGATGGAGCAGTTTTGAAACACTCTTTTTCTAGAATCAGCAAGTGGATATTTGGAGTGCTTTGAGGCCTATGGTGGAAAAGGAAATATCTTCCCATAAAAACTAGACAGAAGCATTCTCAGAAAGTTTTCATGATGTGTGCATTCAATTCACAGAGTTGAACATACCTTATCATAGAGCACTTTTGAAACACTCTTTTAGTAGAATCTGCAAGTGGATATTTGGACCACTTTGAGGCCTTCATTGGAAACGGGAGTGTCTTCACATAAACCCAAGACAGAAGCATTCTCAGAAACTCCTTTGTGATGTGTGCATTCAACTCACAGAGTTGAACCTTCCTTTTCATAGAGCAGGGTTGAAACACTCTTTTTGCAGGATCTGCAAGTGGACATTTGGAACTCTTTGAGGCCTATGGTGGAAAAGGATATATCTTCACATAAAAACTAGACAGAAGCATTCTCGTAAAATTATTTGTGATGTGCACATTCAAATCACAGAGCTGAACCTTTATTTTGGTAGAACAGGTTTGAAACATTCATTTTGTAGAATCTGAAGTGGACATTTGGAGAGCTTTGAGGCCTATGGTGGAAAAGGAAGTATCTTCATATAAAAACTAGAGAGAAGCATTCTCAGGAACTTCTTTGTGATGTGTGCATTCAACTCACAGATTTGAACCTCTCTTTTCATAGAGCAGGTTTGAAAAACTCTTTTTGTAGAATCTGAAAGTGGACATTTGGAGAGCTTTGAGTCCTATGGTGGAAAAGGAAGTATCTTCACACAAAAACTAGATAGAAGCATTCTCAGAAACGTCTTTGTGATGTTTGCATTCAACTCACAGAGTTGAAGATACCTTTCCATGGAGCAGTTTTGAGACACTCTTTTTGTAGATTCTGCAAGTGGATATTTGGACGGCTATGAGGTCTTCATTAGAAACGGAAATATCTTCTCATAAACACTAGACAGAAGAATTCTCAAAAACTTCTTTGTCATGCGTGCATTAAACTCAAGGAGTTGAACCTTTCTTTTGATAGAGCAGCTTTGAAACACTCTTTTTGTAGAATCTGCAAGTTGACAATTGGAGAGCTTTGAGGCCTATGGGGTAAAAGGTTATATCTTCATATGAAAATTAGAGAGAAGAAATCTCAGAAACTTCTTTGTGATGCTTGCATTCAATTAAGAGTTGAAGATACCTTTTCATAGAGCAGTTTTGAAACACTCTTTCATAGAATATGCAAGTGGATATTTGGAATGCTTTGAGGCCTTCGTTGGAAACGGGAATATGTTCACACAAAAACAGGCAGAAGCATTCTCAGAAACTTCTTTGTGATGTGTGCATTCAACTCAAAGGGTTGAAACTTTCTTTTGATAGAGCATGTTTGAAACACTCTTTTTGTAGAATCGGTACTGGATATTTTTAGAGCTATGAGGCCTATGGTGGAAAAGGAAATATCTGTAAATAAAAACCAGACAGAAGAATTCTAAGGAACTACATTGTGATGTTTGCGTTAAACTCATAGAGATGAACATACCTTTTCATCGAGCAGTTTTGAAACACTCTTTTTGTAGAATCTGCAAGTGAATATTTGGACCGCTTTGAGGCCTTCGTGGGAAACAGGAATATCTTCACATAATCACTAGTCAGAAGCTTTCTCAAAAACTTTTTTGTACTGTGTGCATTCAACTCACGGAGTTGTACCTTTCTTTTGATGGAGCAGGTTTGAAACACTCTTTATCTAGAATCCGCAAGTGGACATTTGGAGTGCTTTGAGGCCTATGGTGGAAAAGGAAATATCTTCCCATAAAAACTAGACAGAAGCATTCTCAGAAAGTTCTTATGATGTGTGCATTCAATTCACAGAGTTGAACATACTTTATCGTAGAGCACTTTTGAAACACTCTTTTAGTAGAATCTGCAAGTGGATATTTGCACTGCTTTGAGGCCTTTGTTGGCAACGGGATTATCTTCACATAAACACTAGACAGAAGCATTCTCAGAAACTGCTTTGTGATGTGTGCATTCAACTCACAGAGTTGAACCTTTCTTTTCATAGAGCAGGTTTGAAACCGTCTTTTTGTAGAATCTTCAAGTGGACATATGGCAAGCGTTGAGGCCTATGATGGAAAAGGAAATATCATTATATAAAAACAAGACAGAATAATTCTTAGGAACTACTTTATGATGTGTGCTTTCAAATCACAGGGTTGAACATACCTCTTCATAGAGCAGTTTTGAAGCACTCTTTTTGCAGAATCTGCAAGTGGATATTTGAACCGCTTTGAGGCCTTCGTTGGAAAAGGGGATATCTTCACATAAACACTAGACAGAATCGTTCTCAGAAACTTCTTTGTGATGTGCGCATTCCACTCACAGAATTGAACCTTTCTTTTCATAGAGCAGGTCTGAAACACTTTTTTTTGTAGATTCTGCAAGTTGACAGTTGGAGAGCTTTGAGGCCTATGGTGGAAAAGGAAATATCTATAAATAAAAACTAGACAGAAGCATTGTCAGAAACTTCTTTGTGATGTTTGCATTCAACTCACAGAGTTAAACTTCCCTTTTCATAGAGCAATTTTGAAACACTCTTTTCTTATAATCTGCAAGTGGATATTTGGACTGCTTTGAGGCCGTCATTGGAAATGGGAATATCTTCATATAAAAACTAGACAGAAGCATTCTCAGAAACTACTTTTGATGTATGCATTCAACTCACAGAGTTCAACCTTTCTTTTCATAGAGCAGCGTTGAAACACTCTTTTTGCAGGATCTGCAAGTGGACATTTGGAGCTCTTTGAGGCCTATGGTGGAAAAGGATATATCTTCACATAAAAACTAGACGGAAGCATTCTCATAAACTTGTTTGTGATGTGTGCATTCAACTCACAGAGTTGAACCTTTCTTTTGATAGAGCAGGTTGGAAACATTCATTCTGTAGAATCTGAAGTGGACATTTGGAGAGCTTTGAGATCTATGGTGGAAAAGGAAGTATCTTCACATAAAAACTAGAGAGAAGCGTTCTCAGAAACTTCTTTGTGATGTGTTCATTCAACTCACAGAGTTGAACCTCTCCTTTCATAGAGCAGGTTTGAAACATTCTTTTCTTAGTATCTGCAAGTGGACATTTGGAGAGCTTTGAGTCCTATGGTGGAAAAGGAAATATCTTCACACAAAAACTAGACAGAAGCGTTCTCAGAAACGTCTTTGTGATGTTTGCATTCAACTCACAGAGTTGAAGATACCTTTCCTTGGAGCAGTTTTGAGACACTCTTTTTACGGAATCTGCAAGTGGATATTTGGACCGCTATGAGGCTTTCTTTGGAAACGGGAATGTCTTCACATAAACACTAGACAGAAGCATTCTCAAAAACTTCTTTTTCATGCATGCATTAAACACAAAGAGTGGAACCTTTCTTTTCATAGAGCAGCTTTGAAGCACTCTTTTTGTAGAATCTGCAAATTGACATTTGGAGAGCTTTGAGGCCTATGGTGGAAAAGGTTATATCTTCATATAAAAATAAGAGAGAAGAATTCTCAGAAAATTCTTTACGATGTTTGCATTCAACTCACAGAGTTGAAGATACCTTTTCATAGAGCAGTTTTGAAACACTCTTTTCGTAGAATATGCAAGTGGATATTTGAAACGCTTTGAGGCCTTTGTTGGAAATGGGAATATGTTCACACAAAAACAGGCAGAAGCATTATCAGAAACTTCTTTGTGATGTGTGCATTCAACCCCAAGAGTTGAAACTTTCTTTTGATAGAGCATGTTTGAAACACTCTCTTTTTGTAGAATCTGCAAGGGGACATTTGAAGAGGATTGAGGCCTATGGTGGAAAAGTAAATATCTTCACATAAAAACTAGAGAGAAGCATGCTCAGAAACTTCTTTGTGAGGTGTGCATTCTACTCACAGAGTTGTACCTTTCTTTTGATAGAGCAGTTTTGAAACACTCTTTTTGTAGAATGTGGAAATGTATATTTGGACCGCTTGGAGGTCTTCTTTGGAAACGGGAATATCTTCACATACACACTAGACAGAAGCATTCTCTGAAACTTCTTTGTGATGTGTGCATTCAACTCAAAGGGTTGAAACTTTCTTTTGATATAGCATGTTTGAAACCCTCTTTTTGTAGAATCGGCACCGGACATTTTTAGAGCTATGAGGCCTATGGTGGATAAGGAAATATCTTTAAATAAAAACCAGACAGAAGAATTCTAAGGAACTACATTGTGATGTTTGCATTCAACTCACAGAGTTGAACACACCTTTTCATAGAGCAGTTTTGAAACACTCTTTTTGTAGAATCTGCAAGTGAATATTTGGACCGCTTTGAGGCCTTTGTTACAAAGGGGAATATCTTCACATAATCACCAGACAGAAGCTTTCTCAAAAACTTTTTTGAACTGTGTGCATTCAACTCACAGAGTTGAACCTTTCTTTTGATAGAGCAGGTTTGAAACACTCTTTCTCCAGAATCTGCAAGTGGACATTTGGAGTGCTTTGAGGCCTATGGTGGAAAAGGAAATATCTTCCCATTAAAAACTAGACAGAAGCATTCTCAGAAACTTCTTATGATGTGTGCATTCAATTCACAGGGTTGGACATACCTTATCATAGAGTACTTTTGAAACACTCTTTTAGTAGAATCTGCAAGTGGATATTTGCACTGCTTTGAGGCCTTTGTTGGCAACGGGATTATCTTCACATAAACACTAGACAGAAGCATTCTCAGAAACTGCTTTGTGATGTGTGCATTCAACTCACAGAGTTGAACCTTTCTTTTCATAGAGCAGGTTTGAAACCATCTTTTTGTAGAATCTTCAAGTGGACATATGGCGAGCTTTGAGGCCTATGATGGAAAAGGAAATATCATTATATAAAAACCACACAGAATAATTCTTCGGAACTACTTTATGATGTGTGCTTTCAAATCACAGGGTTGAACATACCTCTTCATAGAGCAGTTTTGAAGCACTCTTTTTGCAGAATCTGCACGTGGATATTTGGAACGCTTTGAAGCCTTCGTTGGAAATGGGAATATCTTCAAATAAACACTAGATAGAAGCATTCTCAGAAACTTCTTTGTGATGTGTGTGTTCAACTCACAGAGTTGAAGCTTTCCTTTAATAAAGCAGGTTTGAAACACTCTTTTTGTAGAATCTGCAAGGGGATAATTGAACCGCTTTGAGGCCTTCATTGGAAAAGGGGATATCTTCACATAAACACTAGACAGAATCATTCTCAGAAATCTCTTTGTGATGTGTGCATTCCACTCACAGAATTGAACCTTTCTTTTGATAGAGCAGGTTTGAAGCACTTTTTTTGTAGAATCTGCAAGCAGACATTTGGAGAGCTTGGAGGCCTATGGTGGAAAAGGAAATATCTATAAATAAAAACTAGACAGAAGCATTGTCAGAAACTTCTTTGTGATGTTTGCATTCAACTCACAGAGTCGAACCTCCCTTTTCGTAGAGTAGTTTTGAAACACTATTTTCGTAGAATCTGCAAGTAGATATTTGGACTGCTTTGAGGCCTTCATTGGAAAGGGGAATATCTTCACATAAAAACTAGACAGAAGCATTCTCAGAAACTACTTTGTGATGTGTACATTCAACTCACAGAGTTGAACCTTCCTTTTCATAGAGCAGGGTTGAAACACTCTTTTTGCAGGATCCGCAAGTGGACTTTTGGAGCTCTTTGAGGCCTATGGTGAAAAAGGAAATATCTTCACATAAAAACTACACAGAAGCATTCTCAGAAAGTTCTTTGTGATGTTTGCTCTCAACTCACAGAGTTGAACATTTGTTTTCATAGAGCAGTTTTGAAACACTCTTTTTATAGAATTTGCAAGGGGATATTTGGACGGATTTGAGGCCTTCTTTGGAAGCGGGAGTATCTTTATATAAAAACTAGACAGGAGCATTCTCAGAAACTGCTTTGTGATGTTTGCATTCAACTCATAGAGTTGAACATATCTTTTGATAGAGAAGTCTTGAAACAATCTTTTTGTAGTATCTGCAAGTGGACATTTGGAGTTCTTTGAGGCCTATGGTGAAAAAGGAAATATCTTCACATAAAAAGTAGACAGAAGCATTCGCAGAAACTGCTTTGTGATGTGTGCATTCAACTCACAGAGTTGAATCTTCCTTTCCATAGGGCAGTTTTGAAACACTCTTTTTGTAGAATCTGCAAGTGGACATTTGGAGCACATTGAGGCCTTCGCTCAAAACGGGAATATCTTCAGATAATAATTAGACAGAAGCATTCTCAGAAAATTCTTTGTGATGTTTGCATTCAATTCACAGAGTTAAACATTCCTTTTCATAGAGCAGGTTTGAAACACTCTTTTTGTAGAAATTGCAATTGGACATTTGGAGTGCTTGGGGTCCTAAGGTGAAAAAGGAAATATCTTCAAATAAAAACTAGACAGAAGCATTGTCAGAAACTTCTTTGTGATGTGTGTACTCAGCTCACAGAGTTAAACCTTTCTTTTGATAGAGCAGTTTTGAAACACTCTTCTTGGAGAATTTACAAATGGATATTTGGGAAGCTTTGACGCTTTCGTTGGAAACGCGAATATCTTCACATAGAAACTAGACAGATGCATTCTCCGAAACTTCTTTGTGAAGTGTGCATTCAACTCGCTGTGTTGAAGCTTTCTTTTTATAGAGCAGATTGGAAACACTGTTTTTGTGGGATTCGCAAGTGGATATTTGGACAGCTTTGAGGCCTTCACTGGAAACGGCAGTATCTTTATATAAAAACAAGACAGAAGCATTCTCAGAAACTTCTTTGTAATGTTTGCATTCAACTCACAGAGTTGAACATTCCTTTTCATAAAGCAGTTTTGAAACACTCTTTTTGTAGTATCTGCCAGTGGACATTTGGAGCTCTTTGAGGCCTATGGTGAAAAAGGAAATATCTTCATATAAAAACTATACAGAAGCATTCGTATAAACTTCTTTGTGATGTGTGCATTCAACTCACAGAGTTGAACCGTCCTTTCCATAGGGCAGTTTTGAAACAGTCTTTTTGTAGAATCTGCAAGTGGACATTTGGAGCACTTTGAGGCCTTCGTTGGAAAGGGGAATATCTTCATATAATAACTAGACAGAAGCATTCTCAGAAACTTCTTTATGATGTGCGCATTCAGCTCACAGAGTTGAACCCTGCTTTTGAGAGAGCAGTTTTGAGCACTGTCTTTGTAGCCTCTGAAAGTGGACATTTGTTGTGCTTTGAGGCCTATGGTGAAACACGCAATATCTTAACATAAACACTAGACAGAAGCATTCTCAGAAACTTTTTTGTGATGTGTGTACTCAACTCAGAGAGTTAAACCTTTCTTTTGATAGAGCAGTTTTCAAAATCTATTCTTGTAGAATTTACAAGCGGATATTAGGACAGCTTTGAAGCTATCTTTGGAAACGGGAATATCTTCACAGAAAAACTAGATAGAAGCACTCTAGGAAACATCTTTTTGATATTTGCATTCAACTCACAGAGTTGAATGTTACTTTTCAGAGAGCAGTTTTGAAACACTCTTTTTGTAGAATCTGCAAGTGGACATTTGGAGCACTTTGAGGCCTATGGTGGAAATGGAAATATCTTCACATAAAAACTAGACAGAATCACTCTCAGAAACTTCCTTGTGATGTGTGTACTCAGCTCACAGAGTTGAACCTTTCTTTTAATAGAGCAGTTTTGAAACACTCTCTTTGTAGAATCTGCAAATGGATATTTGGATACATTTCAGGCTTTCGTTGGAAACGGGAATATCTTCACATAAAAACTAGAGAGAATCATTCTCAGAAACTTCTTTGTGATGACTGCATTCAACTAACATTGTTGAACATTCCTTTTCATAGAGGAGATTTCAAACACTCTTTTTATTGTATCTGCAAGTGGACATCTGGAGTGCTTTGAGGCCTATGGTGAAAAAGGAAATATCTTCACATAAAAACTAGACAGAAGCATTCTCAGGAATTTCTTTGTGATGTGTGCATTCAACTCACAGAGTTGAACAGTCCTTTTCATAGAGCAGTTTGAAACACTCTTTTTGTAGAACCTGCAAGTGGACATTTGGAGAGCTTTGTGGCCTTCATTGGAAACGGTAATATCTTCACATAAAAACTAGACAGAAGCATTCTCAGAAACTTCTATGTGATGTTTGCATTCAACTCATAGAGTTGAACATACCTTTTCATAGAGCAGTTTTGAAACACTCTTTTTGTAGTATCTGCAAGTGGACATTTGGAGCACTTTGTAGCCTTCATTGGAAATGGGATTATGTTCACATAAAAACTAGACAGAAGCATTCTCAGAAACTTCTATGTGATGTTTGCATTCAACTCATATAGAGTTGAACATTCCTTTTCATAGAGCAGTTTTGAAACACTCTTTTTGTAGGATCTGGAAGTGGACATTTGGAGCTTGTTGAAGACTTCATTCAAAACGGGCATATCTTCACATAAAAACTAGACAGAAGCATTCTCAGAAACTTCTTTGTGATGTGTGCATTCAACTCACAGAGTTGTACCCTTCTTTTGATAGAGCAGTTTTCAAACACTCTCTTTGTAGAATCTGCAAGTTGACATTTTGTGTGCTTTGAGGACTATGGTGAAAAAGGAAATATCTTAGCATAAAAACTAGACAGAAGCATTCTCAGAAACTTCTTTGTGATGTGTGCAGTCAACACACAGAGTTGAAGCTTTATTTGACAGAGCGTTTTTAAACACTCTTTCAGTACAATCTGCAAGTGGACATTTAGAGCGCTTTGTGGCCTTCGTTGGAAACGGGAATATATTCACATAAATATTAGACAGAAGGATTCTCAGAAACTTCTTTGCTATGTGTGCATATAATTCACAGAGTTGAACATTCCTTTTCATAGAGCAGGTTTCAAACACTCTTTTTGTAGTATCTCCAACTGGATGTTTGGAAAGCTTTGAGCCTTTCGTTGGAAACAGTATTATATTCAAATAAAAACTAGACAGAGGCATTCTCAGAAACTTTTTTGTCATGCTTGCATTCAACTCACAGAGTTGAACATTCCTTTTCATAGAGCAGTTTTGAAACACTCTCTTTGTAGAACGTGCAAGTGGACATTTGGGGTGCTTGAGGTATATGGTGAAAAACGAAATATCTTAAGATAAAAACTAGACAGAAGAATTCTCATAAACTTCTTTGTGATGTGTGCACTCAACTCACAGAGTTAAACCTTTCTTTTGACAGAGCAGTTTTGAAGCACTCTTTTTGTAGAATCTGCAAGTGAATATTTGGGAGCTTTGAGGGTCTTGTTGGAAACGGGAATATGTTCACAAAACACTAGACAGTGGCATTCTCAGAAACTTCTCTGTGATGATTACATTCAACTCACAGAGTTGAACACTCCTTTTCAGAGAGTAGTTTTGAAACACTCCTTTTTAGTATCTGCAAGTGGACATTTGAAGCGCTTTGATGCCTTCGTTCGTAAAGGGCATATCTTCACATAAAAACTAGATAGAAGCAGGCTCAGAAACTTCTTTGTGATGTGTTCACTCAACACACAGAATTGAACCTTTCTTTTGATAGAGCGTATTTAAACACTCCTTTTGTAGAATCTGTATGTGGACATTTGGAGCGCTTTGTGGCCTTCGTTGGAAACGGGAATATATTCACATAAAAACTAGACAGAAGCATTCTCAGAGACCTCTTTGTGATGTTTGCATTTAAGTCAGAGTTGAACATTCCTTTTCATAGAGCAGTTTTGAAAGACTCTTTTTGTAGAATCTGCAAGTGGACATTCGGAGTGCATTGAGGCCTATGGTGAAAAAGGAAATATCTTCACATAAAAACTAGACAGAGGCATTCTCACAAACTTCTTGGTAATGCATGTATTCAACTCACAGAGATGAACCTTTCTTTTTCTAGAGCAGTTTTGAAACACTCTTTTTGCAGCATTTACAAGGGGATATTTGGATAGCTTTGAGACTTTGGTTGGAAACGGGAATATCTTCCCATAAAAACTAGACAGAAGCATTCTCAGGAAATTCTTTTTGATGTGTTTACTAAACACACAGAGATGAACTTTTCCTTTGCTAGAGCAGTTTTGAAACACTCTTTTTACAGCATTTACAAGTGGATATTTGGACAGCTTTGAGACTTTCGTTGGAAACGGAAATATCTTCACATAAAAACTAGACAGAAGCATTCTCAGAAACTTCTTTGCGATGTTTGCATTCAACTCACAGAGTTGAACATTCCTTTTCATAGAGCAGTTTTGAAACACTCTTTTTGTAGAATCTGCAATGGACATTTGAAGCGCTTTGAGGACTATGGTGAAAAAGGAAATATCTTCACATAAAAACTAGACAGAAGCATTCTCAGAAACTTCTTTGTGATGTGTGTACTCAACTCACAGAAGTGAACCTATCTTTTAATAGAGCAGATTTGAACCACTCTTTTTGAAGCATTTACAAGTGGATATTTTACAGCTATGAGGCTTTCGTTGGAAACGGGAATATCTTCACAAAAAACTAGACAGAAGCATTCTCAGACACTCCCTTGTGATGTGTGCATTCAATTCACAGTGTTGAAACTTTCTTTTGATATAGCAGATTGGAAACACTCTTTTTGCAGAATTTGCAAGTGGATATTTGGACAGCTTTAAGGCCTTCGCTGGGAACGGGAGTATCTTCATATAAAAACTAGACAGAAATATTCTCAGAAACTAATTTGTGATGTGCATACTCAACTCACAGATTTGAACACTTCTTTTGATAGAGCAGTTTTGAAACACTCTCTTTGTAGAATCTGCAACTGGATATTTGGACAGTTTTGAAGCCATCACTGGAAAAGGGACTATTTTCTTATAAAAACTAGACAGAACCATTCTAGGAAAGTTCTTTTTGATGTTTGCATTCAACTCACAAAGTTAAACATTCCCTTTCATAGAGCAGTTTTGAAACACTCTTTTTGTAGATCCTGCAAGTGGACATTTGGAGCGCTTTGAAGCCTATGGTGGAAAAAGAAATAACTTCACATAAAAACCAGATAGAAGCATACTCAGAAACAACTTTGTGATGTGTGTACTCAACTCACAGAGTTAAACCTTTCTTTTGATAGAGCAGTTTTGAAACACTCTCTTTGTAGATTCTGCTAATGGCTATTTGGACAGCTTTGAGGCTTTCGCTGGAAATGGAATATCTTCCCATAAAAACTAGACAGAAGCATTCTCAGAAACTTTTTTGTGATGTGCGCACTCAACTAACAGAGTTGAACCTTTCTTTTGAAAGAGCAGTTTTGAAACACTCTTTTTGTAGAATTTGCAAGTGGATATTTGGACTGCTTTGAGGCCTTCTTTGTAAACGGGTGTATCTTCACATAAAAACTAGGCAGAAGCGTTCTAGTAAACTACTTTTTGATTTTTGCATTCAACTCACAGAGTTGAACATTTCTTTTCATAGAGCAGTTTTGAAACATTCTTTTTGTAGAATCTGCACTTGGACATTTGGAGCGCTTTGAGGCCTATGGTGGAAAAGGAAATGTCTTCACATAAAAACCAGACAGAAGCATTCTCAGAAACTACTTTGTGATGTGTGCAGCCAACTCACAGAGTTGAACATTCCTTTTCATAGAGGAGTTTCGAAACACTCTTTTTGTAGGATCTGCAAGTGGTCATTTGGAGCGCTTTGATGCCTTCCTTCGAAAAGGGAATATCTTCACAGAAAAACTAGACCGAAGCATTTTCAGAAACATCTTTGTGATGTGTGCATTAAACTCACAGATTTGAACCCTTCTTTTGATAGAGCAGTTTGAAACACTCTCTTTGTAGTATGTGCAAGTGGACATTTGGTGTGCATGAGGCCTATGATGAAAAAGGAAATATCTTAACATAAAAACTTGACAGAAGCATTCTCAGAATCTTATTTGTGATGTGTGCACTCCACTCACAGAGTTGAACCTATCTTTTGATAGAGCAGTTTCGAAACACTCTTTTTGTGCAATCTGCACGTGGACATTAGGAGTGCTTTGTGGCCTTCGTTGGAAACGGGAATATCTTCACATAAAAACTAAAGAGAAGCATTCTCAGAAACTTCACTGTGATATTTGCATTCAACTCACAGAGTTGAACATTCCTTGTCATAGAGCAGTTTTGAAACACTCTTTTTGCAGAATCTACAAGTGGTCTTTGGAGCACTTTGAGGCCTTCGTTTCAAACGGGAATATCTTCACTTAAAAACTGGACAGAATTATTATCAGCAACATCTTTGTGATTTGTGCATTCAACTCACAGAATTGAACCCTTCTTTTGATAGAGCAGTTTTGAAACACTCTCTTTGTAGAATCTGCAAGTGGACATCTGGTATGCTTTGAGGCTTGTGGTGAAAACGGAAATATCTTAACATAAAAACTAGACAGAAGCATTCTCTGAAACTTATTTGTGATGTGTGCACTCAGCTCACATAGTTGAACCTTTCTTTTGAGAGAGAAATTTTGAAACACTCTTTTTGTGGAATCTGCAAGCGCACATTTGGAGCGCTTTGTGGCCTACGTTGGAAACGGAAATATCTTCACATAAAAACTAGAGAGAAGCATTCTTAGAAACTTCTTTGTGATGTTTGCATTCAACTCACAGAGTTGAACTTTCTCTTTCATAGAGCAGTTTTGAAACACTCTTTTTGTAGAATCTGGAAGTGGACGTTTGGAGCGCTTTGAGGCCAATGGTGAAAAAGGAAATATCTTCACATAAAAACTAGACAGAAGCATTCTCAGAAACTTCTTTGTGATATGTGTACTCAACTCACAGATTTAAATCTTTCCTTTGATAGAGCAGTTTTGAAACACTCTTCTTGTAGAATTTACAAGTGGATATTAGGACACCTTTGAGGCTTTCCTTGGAAACGGGAATATCTTCATATAAAAACCAGACAGAAATATTCTCAGAAACTTCTTTGTGATGTTTGCATTCAACTCACAGAGTTGAACATTCCTTTTCATAGAGCAGTTTTGAAACACTCTTTCTGGAATCTGCAAGTGGACATTTGGAGCGCTTGGTGGCCTATAGTGAAAAAGGAAATATCTTCACATAAAAATGAGACAAAAGCATTCTCAGAAACTTCTTTGTGAAGTGTGTACTCAACTCACAGATGAATCTTTCTTTTGCTACAGCAGTTTTGAATCACTCCTTTTGAAGCATTTCCAAGTGGATACTTGGACAGCTTTGAGGCTTTCTTTGGAAACGGGAATATCTTCACTTAAAAACTAGACAGAAGAATTCTCAGAAACTTCTCTGTGAAGTGTGCATTCAAATCACGGTGTTGACACTTTCTTTTAATAGAGCAGATTGGAAACACTTTTTGTAGTATTTGCAATTGGATATTTGGACAGCATTGACGCTTTCTTTGGAAACGGAACTATCTTCACATAAAAACTAGACAGAAGCATTCTCAGAAACTTCTTTGTGATGTGTGCACTCAACTCACAGAGTTGATCTTTTCTTTTGATAGAGCAGTTTTGAAACACTGTTTTTGTAGTATCTGGAAGGGGACATTTGGAGCGCTTTGAGGCCTAAGGTGAAAAAGAAAATATCATCACATAAACATTAGACAGAATCATTATCAGAAACATCTTTCTGATGTGTGCATTCAACTCACAGAGTAGAAACCGTCTTTTGATAGAGCAGTTTTGAAACACTCTCTTTGTAGAATCTGCAAGTTGACATTGGGTGTGCTTTGAGGTCTATGGTGAAACAGAAATATCTTAACAAAAAAACTAATCAGAAGCATTCTCAGAAACTTTTTGTGATGCTTGCATTCAACTCACAGAGTTGAACACTCCTCTTCATAGAGCAGTTTTGAAACACTCTTTTGTAGTATCTGGAAGTGGATATTTGGGGGGCTTTGAGGCCTATGGCGAAAAAGGAAATATCTTCACATGAAAACTAGACAGAAGCATTCTCAGAAACTTCTTTGTGATATCTGTAATGAAGTCAGAGAGTTGAACCTTTCTTTTGATAGAGCAATTTTGAAACACTCTCTTTGTAGAATCTGCAAGTGGACATTTGTTGTGCTATGAGACCTACAGTGAAAAAGGAAATGTCTTCATAGGAAAACTAGACAGAAGCATTCTCAGAAACTTCTTTGAGATGTGTGCAGTCAACTCACAGAGTTAAACTTTTCTTTTGATAGAGCAGATTGGAAACACTCTTTTTGTAGTATTTACAAGTGGGTATTTGGACAAATTTGAGGCCTTCGCAGGAAACGAGAATATCTTCACATAAAAACAAGATAGAAGCATTCTAAGAAACTTCTTTGTGATGTGTGTCCTCAACTCACAGAGTTGAGCATTTCTTTTGAAAGAGAAGTTTTGAAACACTCTCTTTGTACGATCTGCAAGTCGATATTTGGAGAGATTTGAGGCTCTCATTGGAAACGGGAATATTTTCACATAAAAACTAGGCAGAAGCATTCTCAGAAACTTCTTTGTGATGTTTGCATCCAACTCACAGAGTTGACCCTTCCTTTTCATAGAGCAGTTTTGAAACACTCTTTTTGTAGAATCTGCAAGTGGACGTTTGTAACGATTTGAGGCCTATGGTGAAAAAAGAAATATCTACAAGTAAAAAGTAGCCAGAGGCATTCTCAGAAACTACTTTGTTATGTGTGTACTCAACTCACAGAGTAAAAGCTTTCTTTTGATAGAGCTGTTCTGAAACACACTTTTTGTAGAATTTACAAGTGGATATTAAGTCAGCTTTGAGGCTTTCATTAGAAACGGGAATATCTTCACATAAAAACCAGAGAGAAGAATTCTCAGAAACTTCTTTGTGATGTGTGCATTCAACTCACAGAGTTGAAACTTTCCTTTGACAGAGTAGATTTGAAACACTCTTTTTATAGAATTTGCAAGTGGATATTTGGACAGCTTTGAGGCCTTCGCTGGAAATGGGAATATCTTCACATAAAAACTAGACAGAAGCATTCTCAGAAACTACTTTGTGATGCTTGCATTCAACTCACAGAGTTGAACATTACTTTTCATAGAACAGTTTTGAAACTCTCTTTTTGTAGAGTCTGTAAGTGGACTCTTGGAGCGCTTTGAGGCCTATGGTGAAAAAGGAAATATCTTCATATAAAAACTAAACAGACGAATTCTCAGAAAATTTTTGTGATGTTTGCATTCAACTCACAGAGTTGAACATTCCTTTTCATAGAGCAGATTTGAAACACAATTTTTGTAGAATCTGCGAGTGGTCAATTGTAGCACTTTGAGGCCTTCTTTCGAATCGGGAATATCTTCACATAAAAACTAGACAGAAGCATTGTCAGAAACAACCTTGTGATGTGTGCATTCAACTCACAGAGTTGAAACCTTCTTTTGGTAGAGCAGCTTTGAAACACTGTCTTTGTAGAATCTGCAGGTGGACATTTGTTGTGCTTTGAGGCCTATGTTGAAAAAGGAAATATCTTAACATGAAAACTAGGCAGAAGCATTTTCAGAAACTTCTTTGTAATGTTTGCATTCAACTCACGGAGTTGAACATTCCTTTACATAGGGCAGTTTTGAAACACTCTTTTTGTAATATCTGGAAGTGGACATTTGGAGCGCTTTGAGACCTATGGTGAAAAAGGAAATATCTTCACATAAAAACTAGACAGAAGCATTCTCCAAAACTTCTTTGTGATGTTTGCATTAAACCCACAGATTTGATCACTTCTTTTCATAGAGGAGTTTTGAAACACTCTTTTTGTAGAATCTCCAAGTGGTCATTTGGAGCATTTTGAGGCCTTCTTTCGAAAGAGGAATATCTTCACATAGAAACTAGACAGAATCATTATCAGACATACCTTTGTGATGTGTGCATTGAACTGACAGAGTTAAACCTTTCTTTTGTTAGAGGAGTTTTGAAACACTCTCTTTGTAGGATCTGCAAGTGGACATTCGGTGTGCTTTGAGGCCTATGGTGAAAAAGGAAATATCTTAATATAAAAACTCGACAGAAGTATTGTCAGAAACTTATCTGTGATGTGTGCAGACAACTCACAGAGTGGAACCTTTCTTTTGATACAGCAGTTTTGAAACACCCTTTTTGTTTAATCTGCACGTGGACATTTGGAGTGCTTTGTGGCCTTCGTTGGAAACGGGAATATCTTCACATAAAAACTAGACAGAAACATTCTCAGAAACTTCTTGGTGATGTTTGCATTCAACCCACAGAGGTGAACATTCCCTTTCATAGAGCAGTTTTGAAACACTCTTATTGTAGTATCTGGAATTGGATATATTGAGCGCTTTGAGGCCTATGGTGAAAAAGGTAATACCTTCACATAAAAAGTCGACAGAAGCATTCTCAGAAACTTCTTAGTGATGTGTGTACTCAACTCACAGAGGTAAAACTTTCTTTTGAAAGAGCACTTTTGAAACACTCTTCTTGTAAAATTTAAAAGTGGATATTAGGACACCTTTGAGGCTTTCGTTGGAAACGGGAATATCTTCATATAAAAACTAGACAGAAGCATTCTCAGAAACTTCCTTGTGATGTCTGCGTTCAATGCACAGTGTTGAACATTTCTATTCATAGAGCAATTTTGAAACACTCTTTTTGTAGAATCTGCAAGTGGATATTTGGATAGCTTTGAAGATTTCATTGGAAACGGGAGCATCTTCATATAAAAACTAGACAGAATCATTCTCAGAAACATATTTGTGATGTGTTCACTCAACTCACAGAGTTGAACCCTTCTTTTGTTAGCAGAGTTTTGAAACACTCTCTTTGCAGGATCTGCAAGTGGATATTTGGTGTGCTTTGTGGCCTGTGATGAAAAAGGAAATATCTTAACAGAAAAACTAGACAGAAGCATTGTCAGAAACTTATTTGTGATGTGTGTACACAACTCACCGTGTTGAATCTTTCTTTTGATACAGCAGTTTTGAAAAACTCTTTTGTGGAATCTGCATGTGGACATTTGGAGCGCTTTGTGGCCTTCGTTGGAAACGGGAATATGTTCACATAAAAACTAGACAGAAGCATTCTCAGAAACTTCTTTGAGATGTGTGCATTCAACTCACACAGTGGAAACTTTCTTTTCATAGAGCAGATTGGAAACACTCTTTTTGTAGAATTTGCAAGTGGATATTTGGACAGCTTAGAGGCCTTCACAGGAAACAGGTATACCTTCACATAAAAACAAGACAGAAACATTCTGGGAAACATCTTTGTGATGCGTGTCCTCAACTCACAGAGTTGAACATTTGTTTTTCATAGAGCAGTTTTGAAACCCTCTCTTTATAGGATCTGCAAGGGAATATTTGGACAGCTTTGAGGCTTTCGTTGGAAACGAGAATATTTTCACATAAAAACTAGTCAGAAGCATTCTCAGAAACTTATTTGTGATGTGTGCACACAACTCACAGAGTTGAACATTCCTTTTCATAGAGCAATTTTGAAACACTCTTTTTCAGAATCTGTAAGTTGTCATTTGGAGCACTTTGAGGCCTTCATTCGAAACGGGAATATCTTCATATAGAAACTAGACAGAAGCATTCTCAGAAACTTCTTTATAATGTGTGTACTCAACTCACAGAGTTAAACCTTTCTTTTGATAGAGCAGCTTGGAAACACTCTTCTTGTAGAATTTACAAGTGGATATAAGGACACCTTTAAGGCTTTCCTTGGACACGGGAATATCTTCACATAAAAACCAGACAGAAGCATTCTCAGAAAATTCTTTGTGATGCTTTCAATCATCTCACAGAGATGAACATTCCTTTTCATAGAGCAGTTTTGAAACACTCTTTTTGTAGAATCTGCAAGTGGAGATATGGAGTGCTTGGTGGCCTATGGTGAAAAAGGAAATATCTTCACATAAAAACTAGACAAAAGCATTTTCAGAAACTTCTTTGTGATGCGTGTACTCAACTCACAGAGATGAATCTTTCCTTTGCTAGAATAGTTTTGAATCACTATTTTTGAAGCATTTACAAGTGGATATTTGAACAGCTTTGAAGCTTTGGTTGGTAACAGGAATATCTTCACATAAAAACTAGATAGAAACATTCTTAGAAACTTCTTTGGGATATGTTCATTCAACTCACAGTGTTGAAACTTTCTTTAAATAGAGCAGATTGGAAACACTCTTTTTGTAGAATTTGCAAATGGATATTTGGACAGCTTTGACGCTTTCATGGGAAACGGGGGTATCTTCACATAAAAACTGGACAGAAGCATTCTCAGAAACATCTTTGTGATGTGTGCATTCATCTCACAGAGTTGAAACTTACTTTCGATAGAGCGGATTTGAAACACTCTTTTTGTAGAATTTGCAAGTGGATATTTGGACAGCTTTGACGCTTTCATTGGAAACGGGTGTATCTTCCCATAAAAAATAGACAGAAGAATTCTCAGAAACTTCTTTGTGATGTGTGTACTCAACTCACAGAGTTGAAACTTTCTTTTGATAGAGAGTTTTGAAACACTCTTTTTGTAGAATCTGCAAGTGGATATTTGGATAACTTTGAGGCTTTCGTGGGAAACGCGAATATCTTCACATAAAAAGTAGACAGGAGAATTATCAGAAACTTCTTTGTGATGTTTGCATGCAACTCACAGAGTTGAACGTTATTTTTCATAGGGCAGTTTTGAAACACTCCTTTTGTAGTATCTGCAAGAGGACTTTGGAGCGCTTTGAAGCCTATGGTGAAAAATGAAATATCATCACAAGAAAACTAAACAGAAGCATTCTCAGAAACTTCTTTGTGATGTGTGCATTCAACTCACAGAGTTGAACATTCCCTTTCATAGAGCAGTTTTGAAACACTATTTTTGTAGTATCTGCAAGGGGACTTTTGGAGCACTTTGAGGCCTATGGAGAAAAAGGAAACATCTTCACATAAATACTAGACCGAAGCATTCTCAGAAACTACTTTGTGATGAGTGCATTCAACTCACAGTGTTGAACATTTCTTTTGATAGAGCAGATTGGAAACCCTCTTTATGTAGAATTTGCAAGTGGATATTTGGACAGCTTTGAGGCCTTCACGGGAAACCGGAAGATCTACAAATAAAAACAGGACAGAAACATGCTAAGAAACTTCTTTGTGATATGTGTACTCAACTCACAGAGTTGAACATTTCTTTTTTTAGAGTAGTTTTGAAACACTCTCTTTGTAGGATCTGCAAGGGAATATTTGGACAGCTTTGAGGCTTTCATTGGAAATGGGAATATCTTCACATAAAAACTAGTCAGAAGTATTCTCAGAAACTTCTTCATGATGTTTGCATTCAACTCACAGAGTTGAACATTCCCTTTCATAGAGCAGTTTTGAAACACTCTTTTTGTAGTACCTGGAAAAGGACATTTGGAACCCATTGAGGCCTATGCTGAAAAAGGAAATATCTTCACATAAAAACTAGACAGAAGCATTCCCAGAAACTTCTCTGTGATGTGTGTACTCAGCTCACAGAGTTGAACCTTTCTGTTGATACTGCAGTTTTGAAACACTCTTTTTGTAGAATCTGCAAGTGGATATTTGGATAGCTTTTAGGCTTTCGTTGGAAACGGGAATGTCTTCACATAAAAACTAGACAGAAGCATTCCCAGAAACTTTTTTGTGATGCTTGCATTCTACTCACAGAGGTGAACATTCCTTTTCATAGAGCAGTTTTGAAACATTCTTTTTGAAGACTCTGTAAGTGGAAACTTGGAGCTCTTTGATGCATACGCTGAAAAAGGAAACATCTTCCTATAAAAACTAGACAGAAGAATTC